>NW_021159989.1:0-215443 GCF_000001405.40 Homo sapiens
CTCTCACCTGCCTTCTGCTCTTAGGCTCCGCTAGATTGCAAATGACCTGCTTTCATTCTGATCCCGGGCTGCGTTCCGACCCCTGTCGGATAGTAAATCCCAAGTAACGTACCTGCTGTCGGCAAATCTGAGCTTTCTTCTTGGACACCTTCTACCCACCGTCCTCCAGGTGCTGGTGTAGGGCATCTGTTCCCTTGGCACACCCGAATGCCGTGGGGTGTCCCAGCAGAAGGTCATCAACCTACTGGAGCAACACGCAGCCTAGGCCTCTGCTGGGAAAATTCTGGAGGTCTCGAGCCCACGCCTCCCCGAAGATGGTGGGGAAGTTCTTGAACCCTTGGGGAAGCCCGGTCCAAGTGTACTGAGTAGTGACACCTGACTCCGGATCTTCCCACTGAAAGGCAAACAGCTTCTGCCTCTCAGGGGCTAATCTGATAGGAAAGAAAGCGTCTTTCAGGTCCAAGCAGGTGAACCAGCTGTTCTCAGCTGGCGGCAACCCCAACAATGTGGACGGGTTAGGTACTGTTGGATGTAAAGTCAGTGTAGCTTGAAGAAGAAAGCGCAAATCCTGTACCGGCCGGTAGTCCTTGGTCTGTGGCTTGGGAACAGGCAGGAGGGGAGTGTTCCATGGACACTGACAAGGAACAATAATTCCATAAGTTCTTAGGTGCTTGAGACAGACCTGGATACCTTGAAGGGCTTCTCTGGGGACCGGCTCCTGTTTTTGCCTCACCGGCTGGGCCCCAGTCTTAACTGGCCAATCCTGGAAGGTTGTCTTCTGCCCGTACTTTTGGCCACGGCTTAGCCAGAGCTGGTCTTCTCTCTTGGCCCGGCTCATTTAAGAAAAGTCTCCATTCCTCCTCTCAGGGGACCATAAGGGTCATAATGACTCCCGTTCCGGGTAACTTTAGCAGAGAAGAGCCATTCTCTGTCAAAGAGATAGTGGCTCCCAGCTTGCTGAGCAAGTCCCTTCCCAAAAAGGTCAAGGGACAGTCAGGCATGTACCAAAACTGATGAATGACTTTATGTCCTCCTACAGTACAAGTCCGAGGCAAGCAGAAAGCTTGCCTTGCTGAAACCCCTGTGGCTCCAATGACGTCAATAGTCTTTTTGGATAAGAGGGCGACTGGGGCTGTTACTAGCGACTGTTGCGCACCGCTATCTACAAGAAAGTCAATGTCTCCACCCCCGACTGTCATTCTGACCAGAGGCTCTTTGGGGACGCTTGAGCCCAGTCTCCCTCAGTCCAAGAACCCTTCTGCAGGTTGAGCAGGGCCCCTTCCTCCTTGTCCGGGGCCTCCTGCTCTGAGTCACCTTGTTTTCTTTTGAGCTGAGGGCATTTGTTCTTCCACTGTCCTATTTCTTTACCATGAGCACACTGGTTACGCTGCAAACTCTGACAGCCAAGCTGAGTTTCTTTCCCAGGGCCCCCCTTCCCTTGCCTCTTTGGGGAGGCCCCTCTGATTGCTGCAGCTGACAAACAGGTCGGCGTGTCGCCGGGCCTGACCTCCATTCTCTTTGCCGTTTTCCTTACGGCTTACTGCATCCCTGTTTACAAACACCTGGCTAGCTATTTCTAGTAATTGTGATGTATTCATCCCTGCAAGCCCAGCCTGTTTCTGCAGTTTTCTTCTCATGTCTTCTGCGCTTTGACGGACTAAAGCCATGTGAATCATGCGCTGATTTTCAGGGTTATCGGGATCAAAGAGAGTATACATACGATAGGCCTCCCACAGTCTCTCGTACAATTGTGCTGGACTTTCTTCTTTTCCCTGAATGACCTCAGAGAGCTTGTTAATGTTTGTGGCCTTCTGAGCTCCACTCGTTAATCCTTCCAAGAGAGCTTCCCTGTCTCGGTTTAGCCTTTCCATATCCTCTCTTTCATGTGGGTCCAACTGGGCGTCGGTTCCTGGCCACTGAGTCCTTCCATACTCTTGGGGGTTTTGATAATCAGCTGGTGCATATTCCTCTGGCCACTTAGTTGCTGCTTGGAGGACTCTCCGCCTTTCTTCGCTGTTAAAGAGGAACATGAGCAACTGGTGCCAATCAGCCCAGGTGGGGTTGTGGGTCTGGATAATAGCTTGGAGCAAATCAATTAGGGCTTGTGGCTTTTCGGTATAGGGCGGTGTATTGTTTTTCCAGTTGAGAAGGTTGACGCAGGTGAAGGGCTGGTAACAAAAAACACGCCTCTCCACCACGTGACCATCCTCATCTATCCCAGTCTACCGCTGCTCTCTCAGGGGCATTTGTGTCCCTGTTTTGGGTCATAAACGAGCTGCCGAGGGAGGGGTGCAATGGAGCAATGCGACTTACCGCAATTAATAATCTCAATTATCAATTGACACTAATAATTATCAATATTAATAACCCATAATATAATTTTTAAAATCAATACTGATAATAATGATAATTAATATTAGTTATACTAACGATAAGAATACATGATTAATATTAATGATTAATGAAGCCTGATATTAATAACTGATATTGATCTTATTCATTAGAAAACAGTAATATTAGCTCCTAATAATTAATATTAATAATAATCTGAAAACTTTTTATTAGCAATTATTTCTTAATATTAATATTAATATCAGTCATTCATATTCATGTTAATAATAAATGAGGAATAATTCATACTAATATTATGCCCTAATACCTCAGTGGGTGTACACCCACGTGTGATATTGCTCCTAATGTCCAGGGAGGGAGAGAGCATGATATTACGTTCAATATCGCAGTAGGTGTACACACAGGCGGTGATATTGATCCGAATATAATCTCCAGGGGTTGGAGTATGACGTTACTCCCAATATAACACTGGGTGTGCATCCATCCGGTGATTTTGCTCCTAATATTCACGGAAGAAGAGAATGCTATTACTCCCAACATCGCAGGAAGTGTACACCCCCTTGTGAGGTGGTCCTTAAAAATATTCCAAGACGGAGGGGTTGATATGACTACATATATGGCAGAAAGTGGACACCCCCAAGGATATTGTTCCCATGATCCTGGAGGGAAGAGGATAATATTACTTTCAATATCACACAAGGTGGACATGCCCCCAGTGATATTGTTTCCAATTGCAACATGGGAGAGGAGGACATGACACCCGATATCCCAGAGAGTAGAAACAGCCCTGTGATACTGTTCCTAATATTCAGGGAGGAAAATGATGATATGACTCCCCATACAGACGGGTGTACAACTTCTGTACACCCAGGTTGTACACCGGTCTGTGAAACAGTTCATAATCTCCAGAGGGGGAGATGATATTACTCACAATATGATAAACAGGCTGTGAGTCCACCGCGGATCCTAAGAGCCAGGGGGGCAAGAGGGGCTGGCTCTTTCTTACTCCCGGCATCTCGGGGGGCGCCTCGCCCCACTGTGATGTGGGTCCTACGAGCCAGGGGAGCAAGAGGGGCTGGCTATTTCTTACTCCCCTCATCGCGGGGGCTGCCTCGCCCCCCTGCGATGGGGGTCCTAAGAGCCAGGGGGGCAAGAGGGGGTGATATTACTCCCCTTCTCCTAGTATGTTTTCTGTACTGCCACACTTGGTTAACACCCTGGGACATTATTTTCCATATTCTAGGAAGGTGTCACTGTGTAAGTCCCCGCGGGTATACACCCTGTGATATTATTCGTGATATTGTAGCGAAATGTGAATCCTGATGTCACAAGTCTCTACACACTCTGATATTGTTCGCAATACCCTAGCGGGACGTTAATAATAATGTCACAATGTGTGTACAGCTTGTGCTATTATTCTTAATCTCATAAGGGGAGGTTGATTTTATTGTCACACGGAATATTTTCCCTTAGGTATGATTCGGAATATCCTGGAGGGATGTCACTCCTTATGTCACAGGGTTTGTACACCTTGTCAAATTACTCATATTACCCTTATAAGATGTCACTCCTCATATCACCGAGGGTGTACACTCTGTGATATTATCGTCATATTCTAGGGAAATGTTACTTTTAATGTCACAGATGTTGCACACCTTGTGAAATTTTTCGTTATAGTTTTGTGTGATGTGACTCCTAACGTCACACGGGGTGTACACACAGTGATATTATGTGTAATCTTCTATAGAAATGTTACTCGTAAATCACAGGTCCTGTACACACTTTAGTATTCTTCATCATATTCTAGGAAAACGTGACTACTAATGTCACAGGGCGTGTAGACCCTGTCATAAAATTCATAATATCCCAGCGGGAGTTCACTACTAATTTCACAATGCATGTACACCCTTTGATACTGTTCGTATTATCCTAAAGAGATGTGACTACTGATGTCCCAATGCATGTACATTCTCTGATATTATTTGTTATATCCTCAGGGGATGTGACTTCTAATGTCACAGGGTGTGTACTCCCTGTGTTCTATTTCATAATATCCTAGGGCAATTGTACTGTTAATGACACAGGGGGTGTACACATTGTGATATTATTCATTATATTCTAGAAGGATTTTACTCCTAATGTCACAGGGGTGTACACCCTGTGGTAGTATTCATAATTTCCCAGAGGTCTATACTCCTAATGTCACAGAAGATAACACCCTGTGACATTATTCGTAATATTCTGGTGAGATGATTCTCCTAATATCACAGGGGGTGTACACCCTGTGATAGTATTCTTACTATTCTAGGGAGATGTCACTCTTAATGTCACAGGTGTGTTCCTTCTGTGATATTATTGCAAATATGCTAGCTGGATATTACTACTAATGTCACAATGCGTGTACACCTTGTGATATTATGAGTAATATTCTGGGGGGATGTTACCCCTAACGTTACAGGGGTGTACACTGTATGATATTGCTCCCAATATTGTAAGGGGATGTTACCCCTAATGTCACAGGGGGTCTACAGCCTTCGATATTATTTGTAATCTTATAGAGAGATATTACTTTAATGATCACAGTGGGTGTACACACATGGGCTACACCCACTGGGATATTATTTGTAATATATTAGGGAGATATAACTCCTAATATCACAGTGGGTGTACCCCATGTGTGTGCACCCTGTGATATTATTTGTAATATCCATGGTAAACATTACTTCTAGTATCCCACAGAGGGTACACCATATGATATTTTTCATAATATCATAGGGAGATATTGCTTCTAATAACACAGTAGTTTTACACCACGTGTGTACACTCTGTGATGTGATAACTTATATCCTAGGGAGATATTCCTTCTAATATCACAGTGAGTGTACACCCTGTGATATCATTAGTAATCTCCTAGAAAGATGTTGCTGCTAATATCACAGAGAGTGTGCCCCCAGTGACATCATTCGAAATATCCTAGGGAGATGTTACTCGTAATGTCACAGGGGTTGTACACCCTGTTATATTATTGTAATATTCTAGGGGGGTGTTACTTTTAAAGTCACAGGGGTGTACACCCTGTGATGTTATTCGTAATATCCTAGGAAGGGGTTACTCCTAATATCACATGGGTTATCCTAGGAAGAGGTTACTCCTAATATCGCACTCCTAATATCACACCCTGTGATAGCATTCGGAATATCCAAAAGGGATGTTACTTTTAATGTCACATGGGGTGTACACCCTTTGATAATATTCGTAAGATCCTAGGGATATATGACTTCAAATATCACATTGGGTGTACACCCATGGTGTACACATTGTGTGTGAACACCTCCTGTGATATTATCCATAATATCCTAGGAAAATGGGACTCCTAATATCACGGTCAGTGGACACCCTGTGATATTATTGGTAATATCCTAAAGAGATGTTACCACTAAGGTCACAATGTATGTACGCCCCCTGATATTATTCGTTATATCCTCGGGGGATGTTACTCCTAATGTCACATTGGGTGTACTCCCTGTGATATTATTCATAATATCCTAGGGAGATGTTACTTTCAATGTCACCGGGGGTCTATATCATGCGTATTCAATGCCTGTGTTACTATTCCTAATATCCTAGGGGCAGGCTACTTTCAATGTCACCGGGGGTCTATATCATGCGTATTCAACGCCTGTGTTACTATTCCTAATATCCTAGGGGCATGTTCCTCCTAATGTCTCAGGTGGTGAACACCATATGTGTACACCTGCTGTGATATTATTCGTAATATCCTAGGGGAATATTACTCCTGATGGCACAGGAGATGTACACCATGTGTGTCAACCGCCTGTGTCATTATTCGTAATATCCTAGGGGGATGTTTCCTTGAATGGCACAAAGTGTGCACAAAAGGTCACAGAAGGTGTACACATTGTGATGTTATCTACAATACCCTAGAAGGATGTTACTCCTAATATGTCACAGGGGTGTACACACTTTGATATTATTTGTAATCTCGTAGAGAGATATGACTTCAAATATCACAGTGGATGTTCACACATAGTGTATACCCTGTGATATTATTCATAATATCCTAGGGAGATGCAACTCCTGATATCACAGTGCGTGTAGCCGGTGTGTGTACACCCTTGATATGAGTCGTGATATCCAGGGTAAATATGACTCCTCATATCACACAGTGTGCACACCCTGTGATATTTTTCTTAATATTTAAGGAAGATAGTGCTTCTAATATCACCGTGGGTGTACCCCATGTGTGTGTACTCTGTGACAGTATTTTTTATATCCTAGGGAGGTATTACTCGTAATGTCACAGTGGGTGCTCACCCTGTGATATCATTCTTATTTGACCTTGCTGCCTTTTTTAACCCACACTACAAAAGGAATGGAACAGATAAGAAGATATTGAGATTAGACTGTGCTGCCGTGCGGCTGCCGCAGGACACTTTTAATATCCCCGTTTCTCAGGCTGTAGATGAAGGGGTTCAGCATGGGGGTGACCACCGTGTACATCACTGAGGCCACTGCACCCTTTCTCGGGGAAGATGACACATCTGAACTGAGGTACCCTCCAAAGCCTGTTCCATAAAATCAGTAAACAACTGACAGATGAGACCCACAGGCGGAGAAGGTTTATACTTCCCACCTGATGATGAAACCCTCAGAATGAAGGAAACAATTTTATAGTAAGAGAAAAGCGTCCCCGAGATGGGAAGAAAACCAAATATGGCAGCAGGGAAATACAGGTTGATGTTCCTGGTGAAGATGTCACAACATGCAAGATGGGGGAGTTGAGAAGGTTCCCAGAAGAAATTAGGAATTTCCACATCCTTGAAGCAGGTCGTTTGTAAGGCAATCAAGTTGTGCAGCTGGGAGTCTAAAAGACTGAGAAAAAAAAAAAAAAAAAACAAGGACAACGAATCTAGGAAGCCACAGAAACAGGGGTTTAAGATGGCTGAACGATATAGAGGGTGACAGATGGCTACAAACCGGTCATAGGCCACCACACTCAGGAACATGTCTCTCTTCCATGTCTCCAAAAATGGCAAAGAGAGACATCTGAGTCAGGCAGCCTGCATAGGAGATGACTCTGCTGTGAGACTGGATGTCCACAATCATCTTGGGGACTGTGGTGGAGGTGAAACCGATGTCAGGAAAGGACAGGTTGGAGAGGAAGAAGTACATGGGGGTGTGGAGGTGGGAGTCAGGGCTGATGGCCAGGATGATGAGCAGGTTCCTGAGCACCGTGACCAGGCACATGGACAGGAACAGCCCAGCGAGGACCGGCTGCAGTTCTGGATCCTCTGAGAGTTCGAGGAGGAGGAATATAGAGACATCTGTTAGACTCTGTGGGTCTGTATCGTTTGGATACAACCCTCTTTTGCCTGGAAAAGAGGGTTGAAAAATCGGAAACAAGTAAACCAATACCCAGCATTGTGTCTGCATTTTGGATAGACGCAATTCACAAGTAATGTTTTCAGATTTCAGAGCAACCCACACTCAGTAATATTTGTAGTTCTGACAAACTCAATTGCCTTATAATGCTTTCAACATTGATTGCTGTGTTATTCACGTCTTGCTGTACACACCTGCCTTAGAGACACTAGATTCAAGAACGTTCCAAAACCAGATCATCATATATAACAAATTCGTAATTGCTAGAAAATACAGCCTATCTTTTCCGAAGGAAAAGATGTAATAAAACCATTGTCCTCACTTTAAGAAAAAGGTTATCCTAATTAAAGGAAATTAAGAACTCAAATACTTTATTTATTCTACTAGATTGATACAAATTCCCTTGATTTAGAACATTTGTAAACGCTGTATAACAGCTGAGACCATGCCATCTGGAAATGAAATGAAAGTTGATAGTTCATAAGCAGAAAATAGTTCCACATGCCAGTTAGGTCCTAGTGATTTCATCATTCTGTTTTCGGACTTTTCTCCTTCGAGAGAGTAATTGCTTACTCAAATCGATGGGTCTTGTTTTAAAATTCATGGAAGCTATAACTCCTGTCCTTAGCTTCAGTGGACTTAAAGTTTTCATCAGAACGTTTGGCCGGACGTGGTGGCTCATGCCTGTAATCCCAGCACTTTGGGAGGCCGAGGAGGGCAGATCACAGGGTCAGGAGATCAAGACCATCCTGGCCAACATGGTGAAACCCCTCCTCTACTAAAAATACAAAACCTTCGCCCGGTATGGTGGCGCATGCCTGTAGTCCCAGCTACTCGGGAGGCTGAGGCAGGAGAACGGCTTGAACCTGGGAGGCAGAGACTACAGTGAGCCGAAATCACACCACTGCACGCCAGCCTGGGCAACCAGAGCAAAACTCTGTCTCAAAAAACAAAAAACAAAAAGAATCAAGTAAGTCAAAGTCACGCTGATGACAGCCAATTTTGGTGAACAAGGAAGTGTCAATTCAATCATTAACATAGATTTTGACTTTTGCTGTCTCCTAGGTGCCAAGCAAGATATAGGCTCTGGGGAATCAGAAACAAAAGAGACTCACTTGTTCCTCTCACAGTACTCAGTCCTTGCTGGGAGAAGGGCAAAACAAAATGTCCTGTCTGGAATGCAGGGAAAGCAGAACTTCAGGTCAGGGGATATTTCCGTTGAATTGTTTGGAGTTGAAGCTGAAAATCTTAAGGAATGTATCTAAAATTCACTTTACCTTTACTTTATGCGTCCGTCACCTAGAGATCACGCAGCGGGCACCCACGATCGGCTTAATCATCACTCACTTCCATCGGATCAACTGGAAATCAAGTCAGATGAGAGTGCTGAGTCTCAGAGGATGGACTTCTCACCCCTTGCCATACAGAGAAGTAGAAAGGGTGGTATTCAAAATTCATGGCCAGACTCGAAGTCCCGGGTACTATACTTCCTGGTCTTCCGACTCTCAAAAAGTTGTGGGTTTTTTTGGTTTTGGTTTTGGTTTTTGTTGTTTTGAGACGGAGTATCGTTCTGTTGCCCAGACTGGAGTGCAGTGGAGTGATCTCGGCTCACTGCAACCTCTGCATCCCAGGTTCAAGCTATTCTCCTGCCTCAGCCTGCCAAGTAGCTGAGATGAGAGATGCCCGCCACTACGCCTGGCTCATTTTTTCTATTTTGAGTAGACACGTGGTTTCACTATGTTGGTCAGGCTGGTCTCGAAATCCTGACCTTGTGATTCGCGTGCCTCAGCCTCCCAAAGGGCTGGGATTACACGCGTGAGCCACCGCGCCCAGCTTCAAAAAGTTTTAAGCAGAGCTCAGAGGTCTTAACCACAGGCACATCAGAGGAGCATTTTTGAAATGCTTTCCAGCTTCCTCAATAGGAATGGAAGCCAAACTCCGAATTGATGACTCCTTTGAGGAAGTCGAGAGCTGTAAGGAAAGCCAGGAACAGGGGCAAGGGAGAGATGCGTCCCAAATGATCCTGTGCCAATTCTTTCTGGAATCCTCGATGTGATCTCAGCTGTCCTTTCTATACTTGACACAGTGATTGTAGCACCCACTTGTCTAGCTGTGGTCTACAAGGAACCCCCAAAGGGAAGGGCACAGTGAGCAGGGGCATCCGCCTGAGTGGCGAGGATTTGAGAAGGCAGGTTGGTTGCAGGGAGAGGACTGGCCAAATGCCATGTGTCTGGACTTAGACTGCCTGGTTCAAATTGGACTTCACCCTTTTTGACTTCATAATCTAGTACGAGTTCTATGAAAAGGTGTTGCTCCTTTTCTAGTCTGTAAAATCATCGTGAAATGTGCACTAATAACGTGGAGACTACGCAGATGAAATGAAACAAGCTGCATAGAGCACAGAGCTCAGAGCCTGGCCTTTAGGAAGCCCTCAGTAAGGGTTCATGATGCCATGGTGTCTGCCGTCATCCTCTTTATCCTCATCATCACCTTCATAATCTTTTTGTTGTTCTTAGGGAATAGTTTAGAGGGACTGATTCTCTGCTATCATGGGTGAGATGTCTATGAAAAGGACAACCAGTGGGGGAGGAAAGCAAAATTTTGAATAAGATTTCTGAGACCCCCAGCACAACCAAGAACAGAAACTGCACAGTCTGCTGAGCGGACAGTTTGCACATTGGTCTCCTCCCATCTGCCCACCGCACTCTCCTGTTTGTCCTGCGGAGGAGGAAACCAAACAAGGCTCCCGACCGTCCCTCAGCACTCACTTGAAGGGGTGGCCTGCCCCTCCACACCTGTGGGTATTTCTAGTCGGATGGGATGAGAGACTGAGGAAAGAAATAAGACACAGAGACAAAGTATAGAGAAACAACAGTGAGCCCAGGGGACCGGCGCTCAGCATGCCAAGGATCTGCACCGGCACTGGCCTCTTAGTTCCCTCAGTTTTTATTGATTATTATTTTTATTATTTTAGCAAAAAGGAATGTAGTAGGAGGGCAGGGTGATAATAAGGAGAAGGTCAGCAACGAACATGTGAGCAACAGAATCTATGTCATAAAGAAATTCACGGGAAGGTACTATGACTGGACGTGTACATAAGCCAGATTTATGTTTCTCTCCACCCAAACATCTCAGTGGAGTAAAGAATAACAAGGCAGCATTGCTGCAAACATGTCTCACCTCCCACCATAGGGTGGGTTTTTCCCCCATCTCAGAATTGAACAAATGTACAATCGGGTTTTATACTGAGATGTTCAGTTCCCAGGGGCAGGCAGGAGACAGTGGCCTTCCTCTCTCTCAACTGCAAGAGGCTTTCCTCTTTGACTAATCCACCTCAGCACAGACCCTTTACGGGGGTCGGGTGGGGGGACGGTCAGGTCTTTCTCCTCCCACGAGACCACATTTCAGACTATCACATGGGGAGAAACCTTGGACAATACGCCACTTTCAAGGGCAGGGCTCCCTGCGGCTTTCCACAGTGTATTGTGCCCCTGGTTTATTGAGACTGGAGAATGGCGATGACTTTTACCAAGTATACTGCTTGGAAACATCTTGTTAACAAGGCATGTCCTGCACAGCCCTAGATCCCTTAAAACTTGATTTCATACAACACATGTTTTTCTGAGCTTCAGGTTGGGTCAAAGTGGCTGGGGCAAAGCTACAGATGAACAACATCTCAGCAAAGCAATTGTTGAAAGTACAGGTCTTTTTCAAAATGGAGTCTCTTATGTCTTTCCTTTCTACATAGACACAGTAACAGTCTGATCTCTCTTTCTTTTGCCTACACTCACTGAACTGTCCTTCCCCTCTGATGAGCCATGACCACGGAGAGCAGGTCCACTGTCCTCCCTGTGTGGTGCACGATGGATGCTCAGACTCCATCCTCAAGGCTGGCAAGAAGACAGGGTGAGACATGAGACTCCTGATACAGGTGACGGCTGTGGAGCCCACAGGACTGCAACCTCACACTGCAGGACAGGAGGCACAGACTATTTACTGTTCTGTGGCCTGGGGGGCTCAAGGCACAGAGCTCCTCATTAGCCAATGTCACCCAAGTTCCCCAACCTCTAAAGATTTCCTTCTCATCATGCAAGAAGAAGAAGAGAAAAGTGAGTGTCCATAGAAGCTTTGGGGCTCTTCCTCTAATCAGGAGAAAGCTGGTGTGTATTCTTTGTTTCTTTCTTTTCTTTTTAAAGATCCAACTGCTTTAATTTTCATCTTTTATTATGGGGAAATATACCACATATAAATGTTAAAAATTATAAATATATATTAGTTCATATAGAATGGCCAGTATAAACATTTACAGTTTCCACTCTTTTTCAGTTTACAGTTTAATGACATTAAGTACGTTCACATTGTTTAGCAACAATCACCGCCATCATCTCCGGAACGGTTTTATCTTTCAAAATGGAAATTGCAACCATTCACCAAGCTCTCCACTCCTCTCTCTCGCCCACCCCTGAGTGCCACCTTTCTAGTTTGCAACTCTAGGAGTCTAACTACTCTAGACACTTGATAGATAATTGGAATCATACCGTGTTTATTTATTTTTTTGGAGACAGAGTCTTTCTCTGTTGCCCAGGCTGGAGTGCAGTGGCATGATCTCGGCTCACTGCAACCTCCACATCGGGGGTTCAAGCGATTCTTGTGTCTCAGTCTCCCGAGTAGCTGGGATTACAGGCATGCGTTATCACGCCCAGCTAATTTTTGTATTTTTAGTAGAGACGAGCTTTCACCATATTGGCCAGGCTTGTCTCGAACTCCTGAGCTTAAGTGATCCGCCTGCCTCAGCCTCCCAAAATGCTGGGGTTACAGGTGTGAGCACTGAGCCTGGGCATGTTTATCCTTTTGGGATTTATTTATTTCACTGACGATAATGTCTTCAAGGTTCATGCATGTTGCAGCCTGCGTCAGAAGTGCCTGTTTGTTTTTGTTGTTTTTTTCTTGGTTTGGTTTTATTTTGTTTTGTTTTGCGTTTTCATGGAGTCTCACTCTGTTGCACAGGCTGTAGTGCAGTGGCACAATCTGGGCTTACTGCAACCTCTGCCTGCCGGGTTCGAGCGATTCTTGTGCCTCAGCCTCCTGAGTAGCTGAGATTACAGGTGCATGCCACCACACCAGCTAATTTTTGTATTTTTAGGAGAGATGGGGTTTGCCATGTTGGCCAAGCTGGTCTTGAACTCCTGAGCTTAGGTGATCCACCCGCCTCAACTTCCCAAAGTATTAGGATTACAGGCATGAGCGACTGTGCCCAGCCCAAGGATGTGTATATTTTCTATAGACTTTTGATGATAATACTTTGACAGCAAATATATTGTGAGTATATATATATATACATATATATACACATATATATACATATATATACACATATATACACACACACATATATATATAGAGAGAGAGAGTGAGAGAGAGAGCGAGAAAGAGAGAGAGTCTCCCTTTTTCACCCAGACTGGAGTGCAGTGGCACAATCATAGCGTGCTGTGGCCTTGAATTTCTGGGCTCAAACAATCCTCTCACCTCAGCCTCCTGAGTAGCTGGGACTACAAGCATGTACTACCATGACCGGCTAACTTTTTATTATATTTTTTTGTAGAGATGAGGTCTGACTTTTTTGCCCAGGCTGGTCTTAAACTCCTGGCTGAAAGTGATCCTCCTGCCTTGGCCTCCCCAACTACTGGGATTACAGGTGTGAGCCATTGCACCTGGTGTGAAGCTGGGATTGCAGGTGTGAGACATGGCATCTGGTGTGAATATCTCCTGGTAAATACCTTGTACTTTCACTTTCATTAAGATGTCTTTCGACCTCATGAAATTATCTGAAAAACAGAGATGAAACACTGTTCTGCTCCATCTTCCCTGCAGGCACTTGGGCCCCATCCTGCTCTCTTGCCCCCCCTCTTCTAGTGAATGGCCAGATAGGAACTATTGCAGATTTATGGGCCATGTGGTCTCTGTTGCAAATATAACAGCTCTGCTGTTGTAGTGCAAAAGCAACCACAGACCATATGGAAATCATCTTTCCTGCATGGCCTCTATAATCTTTCAGAAATACATGTTGGGTCACACTACTGCCTGACTTAAAACATATAGATGACCTCTTCCCTCTCCTAAGCTATTAGGTTGGTGCAAAAGTAATTGCTGTTTCCATTAAAAGTAATGGCAGAAATTGGCTGGGCATGGTGGCTCACACCTGTAATTCCAGCAGTTTGGGAGACCGAGGCAGGTGGATCACTTGAGGTCAGCAGTTTGAGATCAGCCTGGGCAACATGGTGAAACCCCATCTCTACTAAAAATACAAAAATTAAAATTAGCTGGGGGTGGTGGCGTGCACCTGTAGTCCCAGCTACTTGGGAGGATGAGGCAGGAAAATGGGTTGAACCTGGGAGGTGGAGGTTGCAGTGATCCAAGATCACACCACTGCACTCCAACCTGGGTGACCGAGACAGACTCTGATAAAAAAAAAAAAAAAAAGTAATGGTGGAAATCACAATTACTTTTGCTCCAACCTAATAAAAGTCAAGTCCTGAACACAGCCTAGGAAGCCGGCTATGATCTGGCCCTTCTCACCCTCCCCAAGTTCAACTCCCGAGACCTTCCGTTTCCTCTCTGCTCCCTGCTCCGTCCTCCCATTCCTCACTCGTGTTGCATCAGATGCCTGCGCACCCTAGTGTTTCTGCATGTGCTCTTCTGTTAGCCTGGAAAGTTCTTTCCTCCCTCTACCTCCAGCACTACTAGATACCTCCCCCTGCCTTAGCCTAGCCAGGTCCCCTGTCATGTAGTCTCAGAGTATCTTGAATGTCTTCTTCACAGCCCAACTTATAAGCTCACTCACTCGCTGAGTGGGTGCCATCCTTTCTCTCCACCTAGAATACAAGCTCCCTGAGGGCAGGGGCTGGAACCCTCTTGTTCTTTGCCAAGTCCCCAGTGCCATCTCTGGCACAGAGTGGGCATTATGAAAATATTTGCTGAGTGCATAAAAGGAGGGAATCATGGATTTAAGCCCTCGGCTTGGCGCCCTGGTGATGGGGCTCCATAAAACCAGTTCCCATTTTTTCTCTCTCCTCTTCTCCTGGGAGGAGGGTGTCTGGGTTCTCCTGCCAGTAGGGCTTCTCTCTCATAAGACTCCAGGTGCCTCTTGGCCTAGGCCTGCCTCCTGCTAAGTGAGCACTCTTTAGGGCAAGTCTGCATCGACTCTGCTGAGATCCAGCCACCAGAGATGGATAACATGGGCAACGCTTGGCAGGTCCCTGGGAACGAGGCTTCCGAGTCATCTGGACCAACTAGTTTGAAGTTACAAACTCACCAGATGTTGGTCAGCTGGAATCTTAGTGATGAGCTGGTCCAACCCCTCTTGTTGTAGTCAAGTCACTTGTGCAAAGCCACCACTTGGCTGGGACCCCAAGCTCAGGCCAGGGATCTCTCCATGGTCCCAGGCTTTACACTAAGGGAATGTCAACTGTTCTCTAGAATCACTTGGACTACTTTATACTTTTTTGTCTCCTTTTCCTATTCTGTGTTCTGGAAAAAGAGAGTTTTCCTTGTGATTGAACAGAATCTTCACACTGTGTTATTGCCGGCATTGTTTTAAATTTAGCCTTGGTTCATCCCCAGCTGGAGTGAATGACTTTAATTTGATCAGCTGCTGTATGTGCTTGGGAGCCTCCGAAGGGGGTCCTATGGCCTTTAAGGCTCCTTTCCACTCTTAGATCCCGACTTGGGGCAAACACACACTCCAGCTCGTTCATGTCCAGATAAGACACCCAGAGGCCATGGCGAGGGTTCCCCCTGTCGGGGCCCTATTGCTGTTGAGAGGATCAAGGCAGCAGTCAGGGCCCGAGGGTTGTCCAGAAGAAAGCACAAAGCATACCCAGCGCTGGTCTGACAGCAATTAGGGGTGTGACAGAAACCTTCTGTCATGGAACCAGAGATTGGAGACCGTGGGAACACATCCAAATCCACATCTCCGTGACAAGGTGGTGCTGATTTCCAGTGGTCCTCCCTGGTGGAGGAATCACGTAGCTCTGACTCTGGAGCGTGTTTCTGTGTTTCTCTTTCAGTATGAGCTTGTCTGTGGCCCTGGAGTTCCTCCCTTATGAAACAATGATGCCTCCCAACACAGGACGTCCCAGGCTGCAAGCCTGTCCCTTCTGCCCAGCTTCCTTACCCCATACCACAAAAGGTGCCCCAAAAGCCCACAGCAGGGCCTGCCAGAGGCTGATGACATATCTGTCACTGTCCCAAGGGGGCAGGGGCAGCGATGGAAATATTGGGCCACAAAAGGCATGCCTGCAGGCACATATGAGGTAAACACCCAAAGCCAGATGTCAATGAAACAGTAATTCGGTGGAATAGGAGAGGTCATAGTCTCATGCAAGACTGTCTAAATAAATAAGTCTCCTTGTGCACAATCTGCAAAGGGAAAATGTTTCATGCCGAGCCAGCTATTACACTGCCTTGCTAAGAACTTCCAACACACACTTACACACACAGATACACACGCACATATGCATGCACACACATGAATGCAAACACACTTGCACCTACACACACATGCAAGCACACATACAGATACACACGCACAAACACACATACAGATACACATACGTACAGGCACACACATGGACACACACAGATACACACATGCACACACAGATACACACATGCACACAAACACGAAGG
The DNA here is from genome assembly GCF_000001405.40 of Homo sapiens. Lineage (NCBI taxonomy): Eukaryota > Metazoa > Chordata > Mammalia > Primates > Hominidae > Homo > Homo sapiens. The sequence continues at coordinate 16,444 of NW_021159989.1, forward strand.
CACACACATGCACATGCATACAGACACATGCACACACAGGCACACAAATACATACTCACATGCACACACATATACACATATGCACAGAGATACACATGCATGCACACACATGCAAACACACATGCACATGCACAGACACATACGCACACATATGCACACATACATGCACACACACATGCACAGATGCACACAGAGATACACATGTATGCACATACAGGCACACACATGCAAACATGCACACACAGATGCGCATGTACACACATGTACACACAAACACATGCACATACACATGCACACACAAAAGCACAAGTGCACACACACATGCACACATACACATACAGATGCACACACAGACACATGCACACAGATACAGACACACATGCACACACAGACGCACACACATGCACACATCCACACGCACACACACGCTCACACATATGCACACACATGCACATGCACACACGCATGCACATGCTTACAGATGCACATGCACACTTGCACACATGCACACACGTGCACACACACGCACGCACATATGCACACACATGCACGTGCACACACGTGCACACATGCACACACATATGCACACGTGCACACGTGCACACATGCACACACACCCACACATGTTCACACATGCACACATACACACACACCACTCCTTTTCCATTTCTCTAATTTCCGATTTTTTTCTATGAGCTTCCTCAGACTCATGATCTTGATTCTAGAATGAATTCAGGGAGTAAGTCTGTATTATTGAAATGACAGTAAATTCAAACATGCCTAAGAAGCTTTTTCAATGTTGGGGAAACCATCTCACAGATCATTCAAATGACCCCAGAAGACACTTCACCAGGAACACTTGTTCATCTCCCTCTCCCTTCTGCCAACCTCTGTGCTTTAATATCGGGGCCAAATCTCTCGATTTTGGTTTCTCATCTCTTTGTCCCCATGTACACTGGACTGCACTACTGTGTCAAAGCTACTTGCAGCCTGACCTGGGAAATGCACTTTTGGATTCACTCGATTTGCCACCTATTTGGGTGATTTGGGCTGGAAACTGCCCTGCTCACACTCTTGGCTCCCAGCTGCTCCTGCTTTGGGGGTGCCTAGAGACCCCAGCTCATCCCATGGGTCACATCCCCACAGTGGGGCCGGGGATGCGACTGAGAGTTGTCTGGGCACCTGTCTCCAGCAGCATTGAGGATGGAGCTCAGCACTGTGTGACGTTGGCTGGTGGCCACTGCCTGTTTAGGTTGAAATGGTCCAGCCTGATGTCCACATGCACCTCTGTGGCACACTGGCCTGCAGACCCCCGAGCATGCGCTGCATGCTTCTCACCTCTAGAGTGGCCACACAGACAGCGATACAGACACACCAGGAAAACCTACAGGCAAGCCCAGAGTCGCCCGTTCTACTAGGGCTTTGTGAGCCTCTGTGATTTAAGTCATGAGCTTCTTGTGGTGATTTCATTTAGCTAACATCCAACACAGTGCATTTAGAGACTCTTTCTCTTGGACATTATATGGAGGCATGGCCATGGTTTGCTGAGATAAATGTCCCAAAACACCCCTCAATAAAACCAAATAACAGCTCATCAACTCCTTACATTAAAAAAAACCTGACATCTTATAAATAGCAAATACTGGATGAAAATAAGGCACAGGAAAAAGCTCATAAGCCCAGATCAGCAGTCATCATTCAGTTGTTCCTTAACTACTGACTGCGCACCTGTTCTGTACCAGCACCGCATCCTAGATGCAGGGACACCACACGAAATAAGATGACAAATCACCTGCCCCTGTGGAGCTGAGCCACTAGCAGGAGAGACAGTCACTAAATGAATGTCTCTATCCTGTGGTTTCTGGGAATGACAATCACATAAAAGGATAGAAAGGGATGGAGGAAAGCTAATTTAGACAACTCAGGATCAGAATGGGGAGGTGGTTGCATCCCTCAAAATTCAGAGTAGCTGGAGTGCAAGCCTTGTATTAGCTGAGCCTGAATCCTGGCCCTGCCGTTGTCCATGGTGTCCTCAGGCAAATGGCTCAACTCCTCTGACCACCGACTTCAAGTGCAGAACAGGGGACCAGAGTCCCATCTCTCAGGGTTGTTGCTGTGGACTGAATTGTGTTCCCCCCAATTCACTCATTAGGAGCTAATTAACGTTAAAGGAGGTCATAAGGGTGGAATCCTAATCTGATAGGATTGGTGGTTTTATAAAAAGAAGAGATGTCTCTGTCTCTGTCTCTCCCCCTCTCTGCCATGTGAGGGCAAGCAAGAAGGCTGCTGTCTGCAAGGCAGGAAGACAGCCCTTACCAGAAAGGGATTGGTGGATACTTTGATCATGAACTTCTGGCCGCCAGAACAGTGAGAAAATCAATGTCTGTTATTTAGGCCATGTGGCCTCAGGTACTTTGTTATGGCAGCTGGGCTGGCTGAGGCAGTTGTTGAGAGGAACCGACAAGGTTGTTGGGGTAAAGCACACAGCATGGCCACAGCTCACTGAGCAGAATGTCAGACTCATTCCCCTTCAATTGTTATTCTCTGTCTGGAGGATTTTCATGTTGGCTTTTCTCCAAGAAGCTCCCTGGGGTCTTTGTAAATATGGGGATATTTCTGACAAGAAAAATCCTTACGGTTCTTAACATTGACAATGATCAGGAACAGCAAGACATGAAAATGATAAGATGGCTAGAAAAGAGAGGACCCACAGAAGAAACCAACAACCACACAACACAAACACACACACACAGGAGGACTCCTAATGCAGGAGGAGAATAGAACATCAGGGGACCCCGAGACTGAACTTTGCATCTCATGTATTGAGATCATTCCCTGATATGGTTTGGCTGTGTCCCCACCCAAATCTCATCTTGAAATGTAGCTCCCCTAATCCGCATGTGTCATGGGAGGGACGTAGTGGGAGGTAATTGAATCATTGGGTGGGTCTTTCCCATGCTGTTCTCATGATAGTGAATAAGTCTCAAGAGATCTGATGGTTTTATAAAGGGGATTTCCCCTGCACAAGCTCTCTTGCCTGCTACCAAGTAAGACTTGACTTTCCACCGAGACTGTGAGGCCTTCTTCACCATGTGGAACTGTGAGTCCATTAAACTTCTTTCCTTTATAAATTACCCAGCCTCAGGTATGTCTTTATTAGTAGCATGAGAACAGACAAATACATTCCCTAAGCCTCTATTTTCCTCTGAGACAGGCTTACCCCGAATAGCCCTATCTTTGCAGGCCTTGAATAGTAATACTGTTATGTGTTACATTAACATGTATTTTACTGAAAGTCTCTGGTTTTTGTCTCTCTGAACATAGGCAGGCATTGCTGAAACTTGCAGATGACATTCCAAAATGCATTCTATCTTAAGATAAGCAGAGAGTGTGGTGAGGAAAAATTGTACATACCTTCCCCTCAATGAAGAGGTCCCCGTGGTGTGGCCGGCTTTGGTATAAGCCTTTTGGCTCTGTTAATTCACGAGGGCTGAGTTTGATTGATCCTCATGGGGAAGACTAACAAGGGAAACCTTGGCAACCATTAGGAATAACACTCATGACCCAGAAACTGGTTCTGTCTTCATGGGTCATCATCTGTCTTGTTTACTAAGTGACCTTCTGGCTCATTTTTCTTCCAGCCAGGGTTGGAATTCAATAATTCTAGTTCCTTCCCAAATTTTAGAGCTGGGAAATGCATTCCTCGGGTTTCTACTTTTCAAAAGCGAACAATATCTGTGGAGCTCAACTCCTAAATAGTGTGACTTTGTCTGTTTATGTGGTTCTCTTGCTGACTGCCTGATTGCGACTGTGCCTGAACTCAGGCCTCTGTGTTTCTGAATCTTAGAAGCGGTGGTTGGCATGTCAAACTTGAAGTCATTGTCCTTTAGTCCTCTGAGTGTTATAATTGAACAGCACATTTATGAACAACACTTTAGTAAATCCATCAGCATTCTAGGAAGCTTTGATTCATTGACCTATCTCTAATGTAAGCAAAGGCTGCCAGAGAGTCGCTAACAAGAATTCCATCTTTCCTCAGAAACTTCGATTCGCTTGGGTCAAAGTTCATACCTGTTTCATGAAAAATGCAAAACCAATTAATCACAGCTGTTCATAGTAGGCTTATTCTAAGAGATCTCTGCTGTTCCTACCCCAGGGACAGCCAGAATAATTAAAAGTCACAGAAATGAAACAAAGGGGCCTCTGGCTAAATTATAGAAGATTAACCCAGGAAGAGCACTTATTAAATAGTAAGCAGTCCCCGAAAATATTAAAGTACAAAAAGGATTAGAAATTGTTTTAAGTGTTGGTTCCAACTTCAGGTGCTGGTCTTCCACTCCACTGTGGAAGGGAACAAATGGATTTTCCCATCCTAAAGACAGTGACATTAATCACACACCTTGGAGGCTTAATAACATCTCCCTTTAGTTTATTTTAATTGTTTATTTATTTATTTATTTTTGAGATGGAGTTTCACTCTTGTTGTCCAGGCTGGAGTGCAATGGCGCGATCTTGGCTCACTGCAACCTCTATCTCCTGGGTTCAAGCAATTGTCCTGCCTCAGCCTCCTGAGTAGCTGGGATTACAGGCACATGCCACCATGACCAGCACATTTTTGTATTTTTATTAGAGATGGGGCTTCCCCACGTTGGCCAGGTTGGTCTCGAACTCCTGACCTCAGGCGATCTGCCTGCCTTGGCCTCCCAAAGTGCTGGGATAACAGGCGTGAGCCACCACCCCCGGCCAATAGTATCTCACGTTAAGCATGGAGTTGCTGTCCGCTGTGTGGCCAGAGATAAAAAAAGCCTCCCTTACAGAGGGAGGTGGTATTGGGCTACTTTTTTTTGGAAACAACAGCAAAACGTGAGGCAAATCCGCTTTTAGATCCTGGTTACACTGCTGGATGGAGCTTAGCAAGCCTGTGATAGGGTAGCCTGGTGGTGGCTTGGTGGACTCCTAGCCATGTCAGACAGGACAGATGCCTTTGAGGAGAGATGGCACAGTGCTGGCTCTCAGGCCCCCACTGCAGGGGGATCGGGCTGTTTATGGATCGGGTGGGAACCCTGTTAGAAAAATAAGAGGAGGCTGGGTGTGGTGGCCTACACCTGTAATCCCAGCACCTTTGGAGGATGAAGTGCGTGGATTGCTTGAGCCCGGGAGTTCGAGACCAGCCAGGGCAACTTGGCAAAGCCCTGTCTTTAGAAAAATAATAATAATTGTTAATTAATCAGTTGATTTTTTTAAAAAAAGAAAGAGTAGTGGAGCTAAGGAACACAGAGCCTGCCAGAAAGCCAAGGTGGCCAGCTGAAAGGACACCGAAGAACATTACCATAGTCCTCTCTGAGCTTTTGGACTAGGGGTGTTTCATGTGGTTTTCATATCAAACATACTTTACTTTTATACTTAGGGGGGAAAGACCTAATACATACAATAAAGGTAACACAAGACAAAACTCTCACCAAAGTATTCTTAGATGCTCTACTGGGTCTCTGCGATTTCTATTAGGGACCCCACGGGTTTGAATTCCATTCTAGATTTGATAAGAAAATCCAAATGCTCAACCTCCTCATCCCACCCCCCACCCCTCCACCCCATTTACAAAAGCCAAGTGAAAACTAAGGAGGGGCCGGGTGCAGTGGTTCACACATGTAATCCCAGCAGTTTGGGAGGCTGAGGCGACGGGAACACCTGAGGTCAGGAGTTCGAGACCAGCCTGACTAACATGGTAAAATCCCATCTCTACTAAAAGCACAAAAATTAGCAAGGTGTGGTGGTGGACGCCTATAATCCCAGCTACTTAGGGGACTGAGGCAGGAGAATCACTTGAACCCAGAGGCAGAGGTTGCAGTGAGTGGAGATTGTGCCACTGCACTCCAGCCTGGGTGAGAAAAAGCAGAACTCCAAAGAAAAAGAAGAAAGAAAGGAAGAAAGAAAGAAAAGAAAGAAGAAAGAAAGAAAGAGAGAGAGAGAGAGGGAGGGAGGGAAAGAAAGAAAGAGAGAGAGAGAAAAAGAAAGAAAGAGAGGGAGAGAGGGAGAGAGGGAAGGAGGGAGGGAAAGAAAGAGAGACAGAAGAATAAAGAAAGAGAGACAGGGCAAGAAAGAAAGAAAGAAGGAGAAGAAGGAAGGAAGGAAGAAAACGGAGAGAGGGAGGGAGGGAGGGAGGAAGGGAGGGAGGAAGGAAACTAAGGAGGAAGGTGGCGTGTACAGAGGTACAGAGGCCCTCAGGTCCTAGCCGGCCCTGGGTGAGAAGAGTGAAACTCCGAAGCAAAAGAAAGGAAGGAAGGAAGGAAGGAAAGAAGGAAGGAAGGAAACTAAGGAGGAAGGTGGCGTGAACAGAGGTACAGAGGTCCTTAGGTGCTAGCCGGCACTGGTGCCTACGCAGCAGCTCCCAATGGGCTCAGCTTTGCAAAAAGCTCATTGTGTAACCCAGGAAGCCCAAATTTATTTCTGAGCAGATGTCTTTTCAAAGTGATTTTCCTTTTAGGAAGTGAGAGGAGAATGAAGGGGAGGTTTATCCTACTTCTGATGTTAAAAAAGTCAAAACAAAATAAATTGGTCTTCATTGCAACTATTGGCTAAAGCACTAATCATCACCAGGACCGGTACCTCAAACACACCTCCTGACAGCCCCTTCCATTCTAATCAAGGTGTGCCCAACTGTGGTCACCCAGGGGCTGTTTACCTTTACTTAAAAAGAAATGCTGGCAGTAAGCCATAAAAATTACCATATTCAGCATCTTTCTGCTTCAAAGGTTTTAGATTAACAATGGCTGGATCAATCACTTTGAGTATGTTCTTGGGAACTAAAAGCCAAAAAGAAATATTTTAAATACGTGGTATATTTTTAAAATGTGGACTCAATATATTTTTAAATGCAATGTAGATAAGATTTTAAAATCACTTTCCAAATCGGTGCAAGAGTCACTCACTCTTCCTGTTAGATACACATACTTACACACAACCCAATGCTATCCATGTGATCATCAAATCCTCCAGAGAGGTGGTTTTAGGCCCATTTTGCAATATTTAAAAAATGGAGAATAAAAACAAGATATGATATATCCATCCAGCAGAATACACCTCAGTAATAAAAAGGAGTGAAGGCTCGGCATGGTGGCTTACACCTGTAATCCCACCACTTTGGGAGGTCGAGGTGGACAGATTACTTGAGGTCAGGAGTTCGAGACCAGCCTGGCCAACATATTCGAAACCCCGTCTGTACTAAAAATACAAAGTGAGCTGGGCGTGGTGGCACACGGCTGTAATCCCAGCTACTTGGGAGGCTGAGGCAGGGAGAATTGCTTGAACCTGGGAGGCAGAGGTGGCAGTGAGCGAACATCGCACCACTGCATTCCAGTCTGGGTGACAGCGTGAGACTTCAACTCTAAAAAAAAAAAAGTGAAGTACTGATATGATACATGCTACAACATGGATGAACCTCTGAAATATTACATTCAGTTAAAGAAGTCAGCCATGCACACACACACAAAACCATCCATTGCATAATTCCATTTGTATGAAATATTCAGAAAAGGCAAATCTAGAGAGAAAGTAGATGCGTGGTTACCTGGGACCGGGGGGTTGGAAATGGGGCAGTGATGGCAAATGGGCATAAGGGAGCTTCGGGGGATTGTGAAAATGTTTTAAAACTGGAGGGTAGTGATGGTTGCACAACTCTAAATTTACTAAAAATCATTGTATTGTATTCACGTGTAATAGAATTTTAAGAAAAATAAACAACACCTCAATAGAGTGGTTAACTCTGGGCCAGGCATGGTGGCTCACGCCTGTAATCCTGGCACTTTGGGAGTCTGAGGCAGGTGGATCACTTGAGTCAGGAGTTCAAGACCAGCCTGGCCAACATGGTGAAACCCCGTCTCTACTAAAAAATACAAAAATTAGCCGGACGTGCTCACTTGAACCCAGGAAGTGGAGGTTGCAGTGAGCTGAGAGTGTGCCACTGCACTTCAGCCTGGGTGACAGAGCAAGACTCCATCTCAAAAAAAAAAAAAAAAAAAAGAAAAAAAAAATATATATATATATGGTGGTTAACTCTGAAGATGAGCTTCCCTGGACTTAGTAAAGCAAAATGACTGTGACCAACTCAAAATTCACCATCAAACTCTCCCAGCACCTGCTCTTCTGCTTTCTACCCCAAGCTCTTTGCCTCTGTGTTTCCATCGTAAATCTGGAAAGAATTCGAAGATTCTGTGCTAAAGTGATTTGCTAAATATTATCAGAAAGGACTACAGAAAGATGCAGAGAGGACGGCAGCGTGACCGACTCCTTTGAAGGTGGTTTAAGACTCTGCTGAACTGACCCTAAGAATAAGCCCTGGGATGTCAGAATCCCCAGGCAAAGCAGCTGGCAGATGACGGCACCCACTGAAACAGAGGGCAGAGCAAGAATTCTGCAGGCCAAGCACACTGCCACAGGCTGGGAGAAGGGAGTGGAAACTGAATATTCCTACTACATAAAATTGCTTATTTTTATTAGTTCCTCAGCCCAGCTGAGATCTTGGAGAAGTAGCAACAGGAAATGGAAAGAAAGTGAAAACAAACTGCAAATTCAACTGCACTGCTTTTTAAAAAAAGAACAAGTGAGACATCTTCAGCAGCAAGAAAACCTTTTTTCCTTTCTTGGAGGGCTTAACTAAATTCTTCTGGAGATGTCCCAGGATCAACAACCACAGGACATTCCTAGATTGTGAGTTTTCCATGTACAGGAGGCCCTGGTGCCTTCGTGCCCATCAGCAAGGGAGACTTCCCAGGGAGGCCCGGTGAAGTTGCTGGAGGTGGCTGATGATTTCCAGGGCCTCGAGGAATGTCCCTTGGCTGTCCTCAGGGCACACCACTGATCCTGGGACCATGGCAGCTTCGAAGAGCTGAGCTGAGCTGCTGCAAAATGCTTTCTGCTTTAATTACCTCTCATTCATTTCTGGGCCCTGAGAAGGATGCAGTAGCCTGGGAAGTGTCAGCTCTCCCTGCCAGGGGTGGTACTTCTTTCTCATGTCTGCCTCTTCGCTTGTTCTCAAACTGTGGCTTCAGGAGGGCCTTGGCTCTTGGCAAATGCCAGAGGCTTTATAGTTTGAGAAAGAATCAGAATTTTGAAGAGGAGCTCAGAGAGGAAGGTCATTCTAGGATGCACTTTGCAGAATAACCAGGCAGTGAAAAGGTGAAATTGGCTGTGTATGACACAGGCCACCGCAGGGAATGTGCCCCTCTACTATGTGAAATTGGCTCTGATATCCAGAGAATCTTTTAGGACCTTTAAAATCACCATTGTCAACACACTTGTCAGATTTTTGCATCTCCTTGTTTCAAACTGTTTTAGAATGAGGTCAGGGACAGGGGTGTGATTGATCACCTTCCTGCTCCACTTCAGATATGTTGGTGAAAACATTAGGAAGCACTCTTCATGGAGCTCCTACTGTGTGCAGGACACTGTTCTCAACAGTTTAAACCAGGGCCATCTTCCTCCTCATCAACACCTTTCCTCTCCCACTCAGCAGATTCACTGTCTCAGCCCCTAGTGTGCAGCTAGTGTGCATGCCCTAGTGTTCACCCTACAGGATGCTTCTCTTTGGAAGACTTAAAACACCACCCCCAAGCTAAAATAGGCCCCCTCCACTGCTATAGTCTTCTTCCCTTTTCTAAAATAGCATTTGTCACAATAGGGCATGCTGATGTGTCTGGCTATTTGGTTAATGCTTGCCTTTCTCCCTCAACTGTTCACCCCATGAAAACAGGACCGTGTCTTTTTTTTTTTTTTTTTTTTGAGACAGAGTTTCACCCTTCTCACCCAAGCTGAGTGCAGTGGTGAGATCTCAGCTCACTGCAACTCCGCCTACCAGGTTCAAGTGATTCTCCTTGTCACAGCCTCCCGAGTAGCTGGGATTACAGGCATGCCCCACCATGCCCAGATAATTTTGTATTTTCAGTAGAGACGGGGTTTCACCATGTTAGCCAGGATGGTCTCGATCTCCTGACCTCATGATCTGCCTGCCTCGGCCTCCCAAAGTGCTGGGATTACAGGCGTGAGCCACAACGCCCAGCATTAGTTTAGTTTTTTAGAGACAGGGTTTCACTCTGTTACCCAGGCTGGAGTGCAGTGGTGCAATCATAGCTCACTGCAGCCTTGAACTCTTGGGCTCAAACCTAGGCTCAAGGGATCCTCTCACCTCAGCTTCTCAAGTACCTGGGAATATATGAATGCACACCATGCCCAGCTTACATTTATTTGTTTAAAAGACAAGAAAGAGGCTACGCACAGTGGCTCACACCTGTAATCCCAGCATTTTGGGAGGGAGGCTGAGGCAGGAGGATCGCTTGGGCCCAGAAGTTGGAGACCAGCCTGGGAAACATAGCAAGGCCTCATCTCTAATTAAAAAAAAAAAAAAGCAAGAAAGATGATATGATACCAAATCAAATCATTTCCTTTACTAGGAAAAGGGCAAAAACAAGGCACGGTGTCAGTTAAGAATCCCTCTTTAGAGAAGCATGAAAAGTCTGCCCCAAATCTGGTAAATCCAGGAACAACTGACTATCAAGCTGATGGTGCATTCTAGGTTAGGATGATTTGGACCAGGTTGTACTTTGTTCCCAAAGAATTCAAGGAAAAGTTTGTTTGTTTAATCTGCTTAACATAGTAAAATCTTCCTTTGCAATGTCATACAAAGTTGGCATTACATGTGCACTGTTGAAGAAAACATAGTTAATTGTTTTTTTTAAAGAATGTACTCCAAAACCATTTAATTAGTAAAAATGTTTAATAATGATTTCTTTTTTGTTTTTTTTTTTTTTTTTTTTTTGGAGACGGAGTCTCGCTCTGTTGCCCAGGCTGGAGTGCAGTGGCGTGATCTCTGCTCACTGCAAGCTCCACCTCCCGGGTTCATGCCATTCTCCTGCCTCAGCCTCTGGAGTAGCTGGGACTACAGGAGCCCACCACCACACCTGGCCAATTTTTTGTATTTTTAGTAGAGACAGGGTTTCACCGTGTGAGCCAGGATGGTCTCAATCTCCTGACTTCGTGATCCACCTGCCTTGGCCTCCCAAAGTGCTGGGACTACAGGCATGAGCCACCGTGCCTGGCCCTTTGAGTACATTTTCTAAGAAGTTAGTCATGAGTTCAGATGTCTGCCTCAAAGAGATACTTGTGGTTTCCATTAAAGAACCCACCTTCCCTTTCTACGGGAGTATTTATGGGAGATATGGGCCTGGAGGTTGGAATCCATCCTGGTTGTACTTTGCTATACTGAAGTAAGGAGTAAACCTACAAATAAATTCATATTGAAGTGTACAAAGGGGGCTCTACAATAGGTAGGAATTCTATTTAGTTTTGTTGGGTAACAAATCCTTTGAGAAGCAAATAATAGCTCACCTACAAAACTGGTGATCTGTATAAGTTGGGATTTTTCATGGATCAGTTTTGCTTGGATTGAACTATATAATCACAAATATATTTATACCCAGAGAGACAGAAAGAGTGTCTGTTGAAACTGTATCTTCTTAACCTGTCTATAAAAGGCAATACCTGGAAGGTGGTGGATGCCACACAGGTTAAGCTATCTTCCTTCTGGGAGGCAGGCTTCTGGGAACTACACATTTGGTAATCTTGCCCATAAAATGCCAATTGGACACTTATCGTAGAATGCCGAGGGCACTGTAGATTCAGATAGTCCCCATCACAGTCATAGGTGGTGTGGTTTTGCAGGAGTTTGGTTAGGTAACCTGGAAAATATTCAGTCGGGTTACAAGAGGCCCAGGAACCCACAACTCCTCCTTGGGTTTGGGGACAGGAGGACATTGGTTCCCCTGGGGAAGGGCTATTGAGTTAACAACATGTGGGGTAGGGCCTCCCTAGCAGCTCTGGTGCAGAGGTCACAAAACCAGGCCCAGAGGTGGGGCACAGGAGCCAATGTCAGCTTTCATGTTGATATGGAAGGGTGGCAGGGGAGTGCTGGGTAGAGAAGGGTGGAGTCCCTGGCTAGGGCTCCACCCTTGGGCTTGTGCCTTTGGACCTTAGTGAGAACTGGCACTCCTGTTTTCATGACCAAATGTTGCATTTTCCAAGACTACTCTGGCCTGCTATGACCCCCATCCTGTGCCCATAAAAAACCCAAGACCCTAGTGGGCACAGACACAAGTGGCTGGACATTGAGAGGAGGAGAGAAGCAGAAGAGCACACCGACAGACATCAGCAGATGCTGGCAGGCTTTTGACAGTGGGGAGATGTGGAATTCAGTTGGGGGCTGTCGGAGGAGAGTCTGGCTGCTAGGCAGCCCGACTCTAGGGGAAGACCACCTTCCCATTGCATCCGCCTTCTGGCTCCCCATCCATCTGAGAGCCACCTCCTCCACTCAATAAAATCTTGCATTCATTCTCCAAGTCCACATGCGATCTGATTTTTCAAGTACACTAGGGCAAGAACCCGGGATACAGAAAGCCCTCTGTCTTTGTGATAAGGCAGAGGGCCTAATTGAGCTGATTAACACAAGCCACCTGCAGATGACAAAACTGAAGGAGACCTCTGTAACACATGCCCACTGGGGCTTCGGGAGCTGTAAACACCCCGAACTGAATTCCACACGCTGCTGTGGGGCCAGAGCCCAGAAACGCTCCCCACGACATGCCCGTCTGCATGCTCCCTCTAGGGGTTTGAGCAGCAGGGTACTGAGAAGCGAGCCATGCCCCTGTAGCTTGCCCTGCAAGGGGGATAAGGTTACTCCTCCTGTTTCAATGTCTGGGTCAGAAAACTTGGTCTGGGATGGCCCACTGAATGGTTTGGAGGGCTATTTCCCCTTCAGGAAGCACTAAGGTATCGGCCAGGAGCCAAGAAGTCCTGAAGCACCTTTATAAACCAGGAAAAAAAATTGGGGGAGTATCCCCTGGACGTGTGGATGCCCATCCTGAGGGAGGCTTTCATTTGCTCATCTCCCACTAGTGAGGCCATGCCTTATTGGGATGAGAGGATGCAGTTTCATTTCAAGAAATCACTCTTGGCTCTGTCTTGGTTCTGAAGAGGAAAGACAGGCAGGGTGACCTGTGCAGAGAGGTGATGGTGGGGCTCTGCTGTGGGTTGAATGGTGTCCCCTCAAATTCACGTTCATCAGTGTGGGGAAAAGCAAGAGAGATCAGATTGTTACTGTGTCTGTGTAGAAAGTAGACATAAGAGACTCCATTTTGTTCTGTACTAAGAAAAATTCTTCTGCCTTGAGATGCCGTTAATCTGTAACCCTACCCCCAACCCTGTGCTCCCTGAGACATGTGCTGTGTCAACTCAGGGTTAAATGGATTAAGGGCTGTGCAGGGTGTGCTTTGTTAAACAAACGCTTGAAGGCAGCATGCTTGTTAAGAGTCATCACCACTCCCTAATCTCAAGTACCCAGAGACACAAAACACTGCGGAAGTCCACAGGGACCTCTGCCTGGAAAAGCCAGGTATTGTCCAAGGTTTCTGCCCATGTGATAGCCTGAGATATGGCCTCCTGGGAAGGGAAAGACCTGACTGTCCCCCAGCCTGACACCCATAAAAGGTCTGTGCTGAGGAGGATTAGTGAAAGAGGAAGGCCTCTTTGCAGTTGAGATAAGAGGAAGGCATTTGTCTCCTGCTTGTCCCTGGGCAATGGAACGTCTTGGTGTCAAGTCCGATTGTATATTCCATCTACTGAGATAAGGGAAAACCACCTTAGGGCTGGAGGTGGGACATGTTGGCAGCAATACTGCTCTTTAATGGATTAAGATGTTTATGTGTATGCACATCAAAAGCACAGCACTTAATTCTTTACTTTGTTTAAGATGCAGAGAGCTTTGTTCACGTGTTTTCCTACTAACCTTCTCTTGGCTATTACCCTATTGTCCTGCCAAATCCCCCTCTCCGGAAACGCCTGATAATTATCAATAAATACTAAGGGAACTCAGAGGCCGGTGCCTGCATGGGTCCTCAGTATGCTGAACGCCCGTCCCCTGGGCCCTATTTTCTTTCTCTATACTTTGTGTCTCTTTCTTTTCCAGGTCTCTCATTCCACCTAACGAGAAACGCCCACAGGTGTGGAGGGGCAACCCACCCCTTCAATCAGGAACCTCAGAATGTGACATTTGGAAATTGGGTGGTTGCAGATGTAACGAATTAACTTGGCGACATACTGGAGTAAGGTGGGCCCTTCACACCATATGACTGGTATCCTTATAAGAAGAAAAGAAGAGACTCAAAGGGAAGACAGCTGTGTGCAGCTGGAATGATGCATCTGAAGCCAAGGAATGCCGCGTATTGCCGGCCACCACCCAAAACTGGAAAAAGTCAGGAAGGATTCTTCCCTAGAACCTTCAAAGGCAGCACAGCCCTGCCAACACCTGCATTCAGACTCTGGCCTCCAGAACTGTGAGAGGATGAATTTCTGTTGTTTTCAGCCACCCAAGCTTAGGAAATGGGTTGCAGCAGACTGGGAATAAGACAGGCAGCCAGTCAGCCTCCGTGGAATTCCCAGGCAGCTTGCAGGAGCCACAGCGGGCCCTGGGCTCTGAGAAGGTCTGAGGCCCAGCAGGCGCAGGGGCCTAAACTATTTATCGGCAAGGAGGAAGGAAGGTTCATCCAGAACGTGGATCCCCTTCCTCCTTCTCACACCTCACAAGGTCACAGCGAGGTGGCTGGGAGGAGAGCCAGGGACTTTTCACTGAGGTGTGTGGGAGACAGCTTGGCAGCCCTTGGACTCTGAAGGGAGGAGGTGGTGGGAAGGAGGGCAGCTTCGGAACTTCCCAGTTCCTGCTTGATGACCTGTGTGTAAAGTATTCCTGTTTAGGTCTCAAAATCCTCTCAGAAACATAATTCTCAGAAAATCCAGGCACCCAATCCAGCTCCCTGGCCTTCCCTGAAATCTGAAGTCAAAGGGGCTGAGCCAGCCTGCCCTGGGTGTCAGGCCTCTGAGCCCAAGCTAAGCCATCATATCCCCTGTGACCTGCACCTACACATCCAGATGGCAGGTTCCTGCCTTAACTGATGACATTCCACCACAAAAGAAGTGAAAATGAAAAGGCACACAGCGCTGGCACAGGCGCTGGGAGGCGCACAGGAGACCTCAGGCCCAGGCTCCACTCCCCAGCTGTGAAAGGACCGCTGGCTGGACCCCCAAGCTAGCCCACCAGGCCTCCATAGAGCTGCTCAGCATGGCCGTGGCCAGTACCAAGAGACGGTGGGAGACGGGTGAGGTACAGGCTCAGTCTGCGGCCAAGACTCTGTCCTGCAAGATGAAGGTAATGAAACAGAAGTGCAGCCACAACAAAACAGCCAGTTAATGTGGAAACAAGGTCGACAACTACTCAGACAGCGTCATGATATGTTAACAGAAGGTAGTTCAGTTTCTCCAGATTACCACAGAAGACAGCTCTGTGGATCCTCCTCAGATGAGATGATTTAATGTGGTATTGGGGAAATGAGAAGCCATCTGAGCACAAGCGCTCCCTGAGGGTGGGCCACCACTCTGGCTCGTCTTCCATAATCGTCGCTGCAAATTGTAGCCTGGGAACGCTCCAGCCGTATTTCAGCTTGCCTTCGGGCATCGCCGCCTCCGAAGCGCAACAACAAGCAATGCAGTCTGTCCACGGACCTTCGCACAGACTCTCAGCGCCTCCCGCCTCTCAGCAGAAACGCCCAACAGAACGGTTAGGACCAGTGAGCAGGCGCACCTTAGCTGGTCCGAGCAACAGGCCCCAGGCAGAGAAACCGCCCTAGCAGCTGTCTCGTGGTGCCCAGTGCAGGTGGCGGTTGCTGCTCAGGTGCCTCGGGCTGGCGGGGCTCCCTGGAGCGCGAGGCGCGCCCTGCCCCAGGGCCTGTTTGACTGTCGCCCGCTCGCTCTTCTCCTCTTCCACCGGCTCCCGATGCTCTGAGCCCCCCGCGCTGGGCCCTCTGCAGCCCAGGGATGGGGTTGAGTGGTGCTTCTCTGCCTGGTGCCGCCGCTGGGCCCACAGCCCTGCTTCGTCACTGCGTCGCCCCCGGGGTCCGCGCTGATGGGCGCGAGGCGCGAGGATGGGATCCGGGTTTGCCACCGCTGCAGCCAGCGCACCACTTGCAGGTGGCAGCTGCAGCTCGGGCTCCGGCCGGGGCTGGCGGGGCTCCCCTGGGATGGCCTCCTGGGCCCTGAGTGTGCCGCCCATCCGGCCAGAGGGTGCGCGCCTCCTGCACCCCGGGCCGAAGCCCATGCCCGGAGCTCCCGCCGCAGACTACCTGACTTGCCGCGGCTGGGCTGGCCCCCGGGGTCCGCGCGGCTGGAGGCGCCCGCCTCCTCGGGGATTCCCAATCCTCGGCGACCCCTGCTCAATGTGGCGGCTGCAGCTGCAGCGCCCGTGGGCTGACGTGGCTTCCGGGAGCTGCGGCCGGCCACGCCCGAGGGCCCCACAGGCTGCGCTGCCCTTGCCAGCTGCTCCTGACTGGCACCCAGAGAGCAGGATCTGGCACTTGGCACTCTGCAGCCACGGGGATGAGGCTGAGCACTGGTTCTCGGCCTCATGGCGCCGCTGGGGCCACAGCCTGACTTCACCTCCCCTTCACCCAAGTCGTGTGATGGGCACGTGTGAGGAGGGGCAATCGGGGTTCCCAAGGCTGCTGCCTGCATGTCACTCCGTGGCCACTAGGATAGGGCTGAGGAGCTACCAGGGGATGAGCACATCGTGGCCATCAGGATGGGGCTGAGAGTCTATCTTTATCCTTATGCACCTGCCCAGCCGACTTCCCGACAGCCACTACTGCAGCGTCCTGTCAGGGAGTCCTTGCTGTTGGGGCTGGGATGGGGAGGGCATGGAGAATCAGGGATGGTCTGGCCATTGCTGCTGGTGCCTGATGTGCAGGTGGCAGCTGCACCTAGGGCATGGGCTGGTAGTTCTTCTCTTTTGGATGGTTTCCAGGTGGCCCATTGTGCTGTGACCAAGCCAGAGGGTCCACTCCACCTTAGCCCACACTAGGAGTCCAGGGGCTACAGGCGTGGGTACTGTGTGGCCAACCAGAAGGGGCTCAGCAGCCAGTTCGGCTTTCCTGCCTTTGCAGGGCTTTTTTAAATTTTTTTTTTATTTAACATTTTCTAAAAATACCTACGAACAAAAAGATGCATATCAAACACATTAGGAAGGTTGCACATGGGAAGACGGGGAATAGAAATGGGGGTGAGAATGAAAGAAAAATAAATGAGACAGGAACTTTGTATGGATCAATGATAATAACTCAATCCTCTATGTCTTTGACAAGAAGGAGAAGGAAGAGGAAGAAAAAGAAAGTGGGATAAAGGATCAGAAAGGGAGGAAAATAGAAAAACTTAGAGTATAACTCCAGGGTAGACCTGTTTTGTTGTTGCTGGGTTGGTTGGTTGGTTGCTTTGTTGTAATTTTCATATGTTTCGCCATGTTGGCCAGGCTGGTCTCGAACCCCTAGCCTCAAGTGATCAACCTGCCTCGGCCTCCCAGAGTGCTGGGATTACAGGCATGAGCCACCACGTCCAGCCCCCACACTGCGTCTGGCATCCGTGGTAGACCTCCCAGACAGAGCAGCCGGGCAGAGGCGCTCCTCAGTTCCCAGATGGGGTGGCCAGGCAGAGGCGCTCCTCACATCCCAGACGATGGGCGGCCGGGCAGAGGCTCTCCTCACTGCCCAGACGATGGGCGGCCGGGCAGAGGCGCTCCTCACTTCCCAGACGGGGTGGCCGGGCAGAAGGGCTCCTCACTTTCCAGACGGCGAGGCCGGGCAGAGGCTCTCCTCACATCCCAGATCCACAAAAGAAGTGAAAATAGCCTTAACTGATGACATTCCACCATTGTGATTTGTTTCTGCCCCACCCTAACTGATGTACTTTGTAATCTCCAACACCCTTAAGAAAGTTCTTTGTAATCTCCCTCACCCTTGAGAAGGTTCTTTGTAATTTATAATTCTCCCCACCCTTGAGAATGTACTTTGTGAGATCCACCTCCTGCCCACAAAACATTGCTCCTAACTCCACCGCCTATCCCAAAACCTTTAAGAATTAATGATAATCCCATCACCCTTTGCTCTCTTTTCGGACTCGGCCTGCCTGCACCCAGGTGAAATAAACAGCCTTGTTGCTGAAAAAAAAAAAAAAAAAAAGAAAGAAAAGTGAAAATGGCCTGTTCCTGCCTTAACTGATGACATTGTCTTGTGAAATTCCTTCTCCTGGCTCATCCTGGCTCAAAACCTCCCACACTGAGTACCTTGTGACCCCCACTCTGCCCACCAGAGAACAACCCCCCTTTGACTGTAATTTTCCTTTACCTATGCAAATCCTATAAAACGGCCCCACGCCTGTCTCCCTTCACTGACTCTCTTTTCAGACTCAGCCCGCCTGCACCCAGGTGAAATAAACAGCCATGTTGCTCACACAAAGCCTGTTTGGTGGCCTCTTCACATGGACGCGCATGAAAGTGGGGTCCTCATGCCCACCAGTCCAGAGTGCTCTCTAGAGGAAGGCTACAGACACTTCCTGGCTCACTCATCCAGATGTTAGCTGTCTTGCTGAAACTCCTTTTTTCACCCTTGAAAACCACTGGAAGAATGGCCAAGAACCCAGCTATCCTGAGTAAGTTCACTTAGAGAAGCAAAATCTAACATGAGTGGCAAAATGGACATTGGCACCAGGAGTGTGGGTCAGAATCCTGCCCCTTGGAACTACATCATCGCTTGTACAGTGTACCCCCCAGGCACCAAGAGACCAGGCCGAGACCCTTCAGTGTCCCTGGGCCTCTGGTCAGTGTCTTCCCACCTGGCACACAGGCAGGCCCTCATAAAACAATGAGTACTGAAAGTTCCTGCCTTCTTGGTGGGTTCTCAGCACCCCGTCGTGAGCCACACCCTGACCCAGGGAAATCAGGATCACCCTGATGCTACCCGTAGGCTAGTGCCCCTTCTGAAGTGCCCCAGGCTGGCACCCCTATACTTAGATCTCTTCAGCCTCCTCATGAAAACCTTCTTGTCCATCACCCCAGCAGTCCCCACACTGTGCAAAATGAGCAGCTGACCACACGTCAAATCAATTTTCAGAGTTTGCCTTTGGTTTAATATTGACGGCTCATCCAAAAGATCTTGTCACTATAGCTAGATGAAAAAAATGACAAGGCTCTGGAGAAGCAGAGCCACAACATGGAAGATACCTGGGTCCCAGGTTCATGAGGAGAGGAGCTGCCTGCTCCACAGACTGTCACATGAGTGGGAATGAAACTTTTTCTGCGTTTAGACCATTACCTTTCTTCAGTCTGTCCCATAGTCTACCCCCGCTAAACAGAACTTGACCTCCACCAGACCGTTTACATCAAGACCTGTATGTGCAGTGCAGTGGCCTGAGCCTCCAATCCATGCCCCACCTATCCAACCGGCCTTGCCATATTCTTACTCTGAGAGTGGTATTCTGGGGACAGAAGCTCAGTGCATAGAATTGACTAATGCCAGATCCTTCAGGCGCTTTGCACTTTGAAGTCTATCTGTCCTAGCACATTCCAAGTACAAAGAAGACACTTCAACAGTACAACCTGGCCTACACTCAGTTCAATTCCTTCTTCAAAAACCTAGGCCCGGCCAGGTGTGGTGGCTCACATCTGTAATCCCAACACTTTGGGAGGCTGAGACGGATGGATCACCTGAGGTCAGGAGTTCGAGACCAGCCTGGCCAACATGGTGAAATTCCATCTCTACTAAAAATGCAAAAAATTAGCCGGGTGTGGTGGCACGCCCCTGTAATTGCAGCTACGCTGGAGGCTGAGGTGGCGGAATTGGTTGAACCCCGGAGGTGGAGGCTGCAGTGAGCTGAGATTGTGCCACTGCACTCCAGCTGGGGAAACAGAGCAAAACCCCATCTCAAACAACAACAACAACAACAACAACAACAACAACAACAAACAAAGAAGCCTAGGCCCATATCCAGACAATGGAATGTTATTTAGCACTAAAATGAAATGAGCTATCAAACCACAAAAAGACATGGAGAAACCTTAAATGCATACTCCTAAGTGAAAGAAGCCCTTCTGAAAAGGCTGCACACTGTATGATTCCAACTATATGACATTCTGGATAAAGCAAAACTATGGAGACAGTGAAAATATCCACGGTTGCCAGAGGTCAGCAGAAAGGAGGAATGAATTGGTGAAAGATAGGATTTTTAGGGCAGTGAAACTACTCTGGGTGATACTACAATGGTGGATCCACGTCATTGTCCATATGTACAAACCCATGCAATGTACAACACCAAGAGTGAGCCCTCATGTAAACTATGGACTCTGGTTGATAGTGATGTGTCAATGTAGATTTATTGACTATGACAAATATCCCACTCAGGTTTGATATTGCTAGTGGGGAAGCTGCGCATGTGTGTGTGTGTGGCAGGTGGCAGTAGAGGTTGATGAAAACTCTGCACTTTCTGCTCCATTTTTCTTTCTTTCTTTTCTTTTCCCTTTCTTTCCTTTTCCCTTCCTTCCTTCCTTCCTTCCTTCCTTCCTTCCCTCCCTCCCTCCTTTCTTTCTTTCTCTCTCTCTCTCTCTCCTTTCTGTTTTTCTTTCTTTGTCACCCAGGCTGGAATACAATGGTAAGATCTCAGCCCACTGCAACCTCCACCTCCCAGGTTCAAGCAGTTCTCCTGCCTCAGCCTCCCAAGTAGCTAGGATTACAGGCATGCACCACCACACCCGGCTAATTTTTTGTATTTTTAGTAGAGACGGGGATTCATCATGTTGGTCAGGCTGGTCTCGAACTCCTGACCTCGTGATCTGCCCGCCTCAGCCTCTCAAAGTGCTGGGATTACACGTGTGAGCCACAGCACCTGGCCTCTGCTCCATTTTTCTATGAATCTAGAACTTCTCTAACACATTAAGTCTATTTAAAAGGAAAAAAAAAATCACAAAGGTAGCATTACCTTTGTGAGGAGAGGAGCTAACGTTAGGGAGGGGAGAACGAGGAGATCAGGCAAGCTGGCCATGCCCTGTTCCTTGATCTGCATGGCATGCATGTGCTTTACTTTGTGAAAGCTCACCCAGTTATCAACTTTGGATGTGTAAACAAAAATGTTTAAGAAAACTTCACCTGCAGTTATCTGATCCACACTCTTAAGCAATAAAGAAAGCCTAGGCACACGGAGCCTTGGGTAACTCATGGAGCAAGGGGGTGTGGAATGCCTTCTGTAGCCAGCCTCAGTCCCACGAGGATGTGCTGCTGGGTGACAGCAGGACAGGTTCATGAGGACCAGCCATCGCCCAAATGCTCTGTTCCTCCAGGCTGCCTGCCTATGTCTCAAGCTGTTTGGTCTACAGTGCCCAAAGGTCAAGAAGAAGGACAGTTAGAACAATCCCATGGTTTCAGCAACATGGAGGCCATCAAGAACCATTTTGAAACCATATGGAATGGGGGGTGGGACAGAAGCTTGTTTGGAAAAGGTTGAAAAGTGAGTGGAGGGGCCAGGTGCGGTGGCTCACGCTTGTAATCTCAGCACTTTGGGAGGCTGAGGCAGGCAGATCACCTGAGATGGAGAGTTCAAGACCAGCCTGACTACATAGAAAACCCCCGTCTCTGCTAAAAATACAAAATTAGCCGGGCGTGGTGGCAGGTGCTTGTAATCCCAGTGAGGAAGCTGAGGCAGCTGAATGACTTGAATCTGGGAGGCAGAGTTTGCAGTGAGCTGAGACTGCGCCATTGCATGCCAGCCTGGGCAACAAGAGATAATCTCCACCTCAAAAAAAAAAAAAAAAGAAAAAGAAAAAGAAAAAAGGAAAGAAAAAAGAAAAGTGAGTGGGAGGTAAGAAAGTCAAAGATGGTCCATGTAGTAGTCAGAGTAACGGCCCCCAAAGATGTCCACAGGCCTTAATCCCCAGGCAGTGATTATGTTACCAGACATTCATGGTAAAAGGGACTGGCAGATGTGATTAAGTTCAGGATTTTGAGTGGGGAAGATTATCCTGGATTATCTGGAAGGGGTTTATATAATCACAAGGGTCCTTAAAAGGAGGAAGGTGGCTGAGTGCAGTGGCTCACACCTGTAATCCCAGCACTTTGGGAGGCCAAGGTGGGTGGATCACCTGAGGTCAGGAGTTCAAGACCAGCCTGGCCAACATGGTGAAATCCCATGTCTACTAAAAATATGAAAATTAGCCAGGGATGGTGGTGCATGCCTGTAATCCCAGCTACTTGGGAGGCTGAGGCAGGAGAATTGCTTGAACCCAGGAGGTTGAGGTTGCAGTGAACCGAGATTGCACCATTGCACTCCAGCCTGGGCAACAAGAGAAAAACTCCATCTCAAAAAAAAAAAGGAGGAAGGCAAGAGAGTCAGAGTCAGAGAGTCAGAAAAAGGAGTTGTGACAACAGAACCAGCAGTTGGAACGATGAAGCCATGAGTCCAAGAATGTAGGCAGTCTTTAGAAATGGGAAAAGGCAAGGAAAAAGATTTTGCCTTGAAACCTCCAAAAGGAATGCAGCCATGCAGAAATCTTCATTGCAAACATCTGACTACTAGAACTGTAAGAGAATACATGTGTGCTGTTTTAAACCACTGAGTTTGTGGCAATTTGTTACAGAAGCAATAGGAATACTAGTACAGTTTGTATAGATGACTGTGGCAACAGTGTGGTGAAGATGAGAGAAACAGAGCTGTGCCGGGCACAGTGGCTCACGCCTGCAATGCCAACACTTTGGGAGGCTGAGGTGGGCAGATCCCGAGGTCAGGAGATCGAGACCATACTGGCTAACACGGTGAAACCCCATCTCTACTAAAAATACAAGAAATTAGCCGGGCGTGGTGGCAGACGCAGGGAGGCTGTGGCAGGAGAATGGCGTGAACCTGGAAGGTGGAGTTGCAGTGAGCTGAGATCACACCACTGCACTCCAGCCTGGGCGAAAGAGCAAGACTCCATCTCAAAAAAAAAGAGAGAGAGAAACATAGCTGTAAGAAGGATCAGGGAGAGATTTTTAAATAATTGTGACTGAGTTAAAGTTGAAAGAGGCTTGTGTATATATGTATGTGTATAGATAAATACGTATGCAGATGACCCTCAGATCATAAGTATTTCGATTTCTTTCTTTTTTTTTTTTCCCCTGAGACGGAGTCTCCCTTTGTCACCCAGACTGGAGTGCTGTGGCGTGATTTCAGTTGGCTGCAACCTCCACCTTCCTGGTTCAAGCAGTTCTCCTGCCTCAGCCTCCAGAGTAGCTGGGATTACAGGTGCCCGCAACATGCCCGGCTAATTTTTGTTTTTGGCCAGGCTGGTCTGGAACTCCTGACCTCAAGTGATCCACCCACCTCAGCCTCCCAAAGTGCTGGGGTTACAGGTGTGAGCCACTGCACCTGGCTCATATGTATTAGATTTCTTACTGTGGGTTATGGTCCGACAAGTTTGAAGGGGGATATTGTCGAGAGACTGCTCAAAATGATGAACCGTGGGCTCCAAGCTAATTATAAGAAAGGAAATGAGCACAGAAGAGGCAAGGGGCCCAAGGGATCAGAGATTCTGATGAGGACCAGCAAGGTCAGAGTGAGGGAATCACACAGCAGGCTGGAAAGGCAGGAGGCTGTGCCCATGAGTTGTTTGAGGAGTGATTTCAAGGTGGATTTGCAGGTTATGGAAAAGTCCAGGAGTGGCCATAGAAGGAGGTTGGTGGAGAAGGTTGCTGGAAACAAGGATGCCAGGACTGAGAGTGAAGATGCCCTGTGGACCAGGCATCTCCCAGGATGAAGGTAGGAAGTGGGTTGGAGCAGGAGTCAGCTGCCAAGTTTGTCCTTAAACAAAAGGCAGATGACAGATGAGCTGCTCCCAATCTAACGCCCTTTTTGGCATTCTCCTTTCCCGGTAGGCAAGTTCACGCATTCCAGTGTGCTGGGCAGAGTCATGCCACTGAACTTCCCACACCTTGGTTTCTTGGCTGGTTGAAGAGAGATCCTTTTTAAAGAACAGCTACTAATGCAGCTGTTTATTAATGATTCCCTCCGGGTAAAATTAGCCATCATGTTGGATCAGTCAAAACTGCTTTATTTCTTAATAATTTCAGCCAGAGCTTGTACGGTCTAACTCTATTTGTGGGCAAGTATTTGCCATCCTGGAAGACGGCAGTTGTGCACACTCTGTTAAGAAATCAGTCCTGGAATCCAGTAGAACTTGGAGATGCTCTGTTGATTCTTGTTAAACTGGTGAGGAGAGGAAATGGGAGGATGTAGATTCTTTTTTTTTTTTTTCCTATCACCCAGGCTGGAGTGCAATGGCATGATCTCGGCTCACCACAACCTCTGCCTCCCAGGTTCAAGCAATTCTCCTGCCTCAGCCTCCCGAGTGGCTGGGACTACAGGTGCGTGCCACCATGCCTGGCTATTTTTTTATTTTTAGTAGAGACAGGGTTTCACCATATTGGCCAGGCTGTTCTCGAACTCCTGACCTCAGGTGATCCTTCTGCCTCAGCCTCCCAAAGTGCTGGGATTACAGGCGTGAGTCACCATGACCAACTGGATGTAGGCTCTTTTTTCTCAGCTTCACATTGCTCAGGGATCTTGGTACAGCTCATGTGTAACTCCAAGATTCTCGTCCCTGTTGAATCCTCCCACTGTGTATCAGCAGAAACTCTTACAGTTACTGCCATAGCTAAAACCTTCCTCAAAGGAGTATCCTGAAAGGCTTGGGTGGAGCAAATCTTAGAAAAGCTTAGATCAAAGTTCTCAGGTTTTCATTTTTAGAATACATATTAGGAGTTCACGACATGAACCCCTAAGAGTGGAGGGAGCTCTCCTCTGTCTTCTGAAAGACACAGGGAAATCCTTCTTGGGATTGGCATCCTCATCACATTTACAATGAAAATCCATTAATATTCAAATAATCCAGTGACTATAGAAAGACCAGCGTGAGAGGAAAATAAATCTTGGGGCCCCATACTTACTAAGCCAAAGGGAACAGTCAAGCTGGGAACTGGGTCACGCAAACCTGCCTCCCATTTGGTTCCTAACTAAGATGGCTACAAAGATAAAAAGCTACATACATCGCTCACCTTTTGCCCACAAGGAGATTCCTTGCAGGCCCCAAGATCTTTACTTGAAAACAGTTCTGTTGAATTTCACCCTGGCAATATCAATTGATAGCTTATCCACAGATGCGGGACGGGACAGGACAGAACTCAAAGTCATCCTTCTGCTCGCCTGAGAGCAATCACAAATGTATATCTGATTTCTGATTGCTTCCTCTGCCCTGTTGTTTACATCATCTTATGTAAAATTGCAGATTCCCTTAGCCAGATGAAGTGACAGCATGAATGACTATTTCCTCTACTCACCCTCATATGAAACTTGTATATTCCCCCAATATCCATCCTTTCCCCTTTAAATATTGAAGCCCTTAAAATTATCTTTGGAGAAAGGCATAGACCTGTCTCCCTGGTGGATGTCCTTAACTTTGGCAAATAAACCCCTTAAAATGATTACAACTTGCCACGGTCATTTTCATTGATTTATACCAGAATGAGGTAAATAACTGATTTTCAAAGAATCATGGTATGTGTCCCAAAGTGTTCTAAAGGAGTGTGATATTTTGAAATATATATTTGATCTTTCACATGTTTCCTTCCATACAACTCCTAAAACCCTTAGAATCTCCAAAGTGATGTGTTTTGGTATGCTAATAAGTTGACTGATGGCTGGCAGCCCCTAGCTATCTTCAGAATGGGGGCCAGTCCCTGGAACGACCAAGGCAAGATTAGAGAGTTGGGACTTTGAGCCTAACCCAAACTTCCAGGGAGAGGAGAGGAACTGAAGGTTTTATTGGTCACTAATGGCCAGTGATTTAATCAATTGTGCCTAGGTAATGATGCTTCTATAAAAGTCCAAAAGAATTGGGTTTGGAGAGCTTCTGGATAGCAAAACATGTACAAGTTTCTGGAGGGCAGGGCACCCAAGGTGGGCATAGAAGCTCCACACTCCTTCCCCATCCCTTTCCCTGTGTGTCTCCTCATCTGTATCCTTTGTAATAGCCTTTATAATGAACTGATAAACATAAGTAAACTTCCCTAAAGTTTTTCTGTGAACCCTCCATATTGATGGAACCCAAGGAGGGGGTTATGGGATCCTCAACTTGAAGCTGGTTGTTCAGAAGTTCTGGAGGCCCAGACTGTGACTGCTGGGAAGAAGGGCAATAATCTTGGGGACCCAGCCCTCAATCTGTGGGATATGATGCTATCTCCAGGTAGATGGTGTCAGAATTGAATTGGAGTATAGCCAGCTGGTATTTGCTGCAGAATTGATTGTTTGCTTGTTGGTGGGGAGGAATCCCCAAACATTTGGTCACAAAAATATTCTGTGTTGATTGTTGTTGAGTGAAAGAATAGAGAAAGTATTTTGAGTTTGTGTGTGTATGTGTTTTCACACAACTAGTGTCAGAAGTGGGATTTGCTGGTCGAGGCCGTGGCTCATAGAAACCTGTGCTTTGGGAAGAGAAAGAATGAGAGGGGCCAGGCGCGGAGGCTCATGCCTGTAATCCCAGCACTTTGGGAGGCCAAGGTGGGTGGATCACGAGGTCAGGAGATCAAGACCATCCTGGCTAACACAGTGAAACCCCGTCTCTACTAAAAATACAAAAATTAGCTGGGTGTAGTGGCGTGTGCCTGTAGTCCCAGCTACCCGGGAGGCTGAGGCAGGAAAATGGTGTGAACCTGGGAGGCAGAGCATGCAGTAAGCCGAGATTGTGCCACTGCACTCCAGCCTGGGTGACAGAGCCAGACTCCTTCTCAAAAAGAAAAAAAGAATGAGAGGATGGAGGATAAGGGACCTTTGATTCCTGGATGGTCACATGGTCACCCATGGTATGAAGTCACAGCTGTGCTGCACTCAGTTATTAAAGGTGAAAGTTACCACTGGAATTTGGAGATAGATCCAACTCTTGGGAAGTTGGTTCACTGGATGTGCAAGGAAATGCAAACTAATAATAAAGAAGTGAAATATTCAATCCTTTGGTTATTGTTATCTGTAATAGCTAAAATAAAAATAAAAGAGGGCGCTAGGTCCAGCCTCAATGCTACACCAAGCTTAGATGGCAGTGAGTCTGGGATTTGGCCACTAGCTTTGGAGCCATTCCCTAAGGGCAAAATTATGCAGAAACAACAGAAAATGCCTCTGAGACCTGTGGTTACCAAGAAGGTAGTCAATTTCGGGGAAGGGCAAAATTAAGTAACTACTGAAACAAAGGGGTAGAGTGTGAAGGAATTGTTTTATTTTGTGTTTCAGTATCTTCAACTCCCTGAGGGACCTTTACTAAAATGGACTGTGAGAGTAACTAATTTAGGGGCAATATCTTTGGTTTTACATGCTGCAGAGGGGAGGAGAATGTTTGGGTTGATGCAGGATCCACAGCTCACTATGGAACAACCTCAGATGGCTACATGCGATCTGGACATACAGCAGGCTATTCCTGAGGCAACAGCCAGCCTAGTAGACTGGATAAAAGCCACCATAATGTTTGTTTACCCTGAGAAGGGGGACTGTCCAACTCCACCTATAAATGCCAAGTGGAGCCCTCCAGATGAAGCAGCTGACATGCTTTGTATGCAAGCCACATGGGACTGGCTTTATGGTGACTGGGATATCCACCCACTACATTGTCTGTTACCCAGGTCATGGGAAATGCTGTGATTAAGGGGTCCCATTTGATTTGCATGGACACCTCATGCAAACTCACTGCTGCAAAATCAAGCTATGGTCGGAGAAGCCTTATTGAATTTGCTATCTCAGCTTCCCCTCATGGGTCTTATAGATGCTAATAAAAACATTAGGGCAATTAATAAAATAATGTGGAAAAGCAGAGGACAGGGTCAAAGGACTCATCTCATGAAGGTGGATGTATTTAAGCAGTGATTGAGAAATAAAGAGATTAAAGAAAACATCAATAAAGCTAAAACTAAGAGGAAAAAGGGAAGCGCCATGGGACTCATCGCAGGAGGCTGAAAATCTTTAGTGGTGCTTAAGAAATGAGACGAATAGAATGGAAATTGATGGGGTGAAAACAAAGGTCTTAATACAACACTATTGAAGGTTGGGTGGACCAAAAAGAGCCCTTGCTGGCTGCCAACATTAAGGAGTTCCAAATGGGTTTGCTGTATTCACCTTAGTCTGGAGAAATTTTAAAAGTCATTAAGCAGAGATTACAATGAGAAAGCTGGTCAGCAATCACCTGGGCCAATGTTGAGGCAGGTTCATCCAGATAAAGATTGACAAAAGGGCCAAGGCTCCTTGGCTCAACCCTCTGCTGGCGACTCAAAGTTTTTTGCACTGGCTGATGGAGAAGAGAAACTCCTGGATCTAGAACTTAAAAATGTAAGGGTTGGTAGAATTATGAAAGTTGGTGTATTTGAACATGCTTCATATGAAATGGTTACATCTCTTTTACCTGATTGTATTAGGGAATGGACTTTGTATCTGACTTGTCCTTCAAGCAATATTAGTGGGACGTGAGATGGGAGCCAGTAAGATTGTCCCCAGCCCACAAAGTGCAGAGTGGAAGCTGCTGAGCTGGGAGGGACATATTCTCCATTCAATAACCCCTCTATGGAGCCTCTAATGCAGCATATGGAAAAAGCCTGTCACCGTCTCCCGGCAAAAACTCCCGGCCCATAAAATGATCTTGACACCTGAAATACCCATGCTGTCTCAAGTGACATCATAGAAACACTCTAATGAGGCTGGGCACAGTGGCTCACACCTGTAATCCCAGCACTTTGAGAGGCCGAGGTGGGTGGATCACCTGAGATCAGGAGTTTGAGACCAGCCTGACCAACATGGTGAAACTCCGTCTCTACTAAAAATACAAAAAATTAGCCAGGCATAGTGGTGGATGCCTGTAATCCCAGCTACTTGGGAGGCTGAGGGAGGAGAATAGCTTGAACCTGGGAGGCAGAAGTTGCAGTGAGCCAAGATCGCACCATTGCACTCCAGCCTGGGCGACAAGAGCAAGACTCCATCTCAGAAAAAAAAAAAAAAAAAAAAAAAAAAGAAAGAAACATAATAAAACAGAAATGGTTTATACAGCATCATGCTATGTGGGGAATGCAGGGATGAGATATTCCCAAGGAGGGAACCTCTTTTCTCCTACGACTGACTGGAACAGTGAGGAGCTGCTGGATTCTATCAGCAGTTCGACAATGCCCTATATAACCAGCTCTCAACTCACTCACCCCCAGCTGTTTGGTCTATGGATGATAATTTCGAGGTGAACAAACAACATCCTGTTTGGAGGGCTGCTACTCTGGCTAAAGATGATAAAAATCAGTCTGCTCAGTGAGTTGAATTGCATGCTGTTTTCCTTGCTGCTGATTTATACTAGAATGATATCAATAACTGATTTTCAAAGAATCATGGTGTGTGTTCCAAAGTGTTCTACAGGAGTGTGATATTGTGAAATATATATTTGATCAGTCGAACAGTGGTAGAAGCCCCGTGTTTGGGTTTTGACTGACTCCTGGGCAGTGACCAGTGTCTTGGCTGTACACTCAGGCAAGAGGGCAATAGCCACCTGGCTTATTAACGGGATATCCATATGGGGCACAGCCCTGTGGAGATGGGAAAGATGTCTTGAAGTAGAACAGGTTCATGCCCATCAGAAAAACTCCCTTCCAGGCTCAGGAGGTGGCTGGGGTCACCAAGTGAGATTTTTCTGTGTGCTCCTGTGAGGTGGTCACCTGGGTCCATGAAATGAGTGAACAAGGTGGCTCTGCAGCAGTGCAGAGATGGGCTAAATCTAGCCATGACCCTCGGGCTCAAAATGCCAATAACTATTCTGTCACTGGGTGTGGTGGCTCAAGCCTGTAGTTCCAGCACTTTGGGAGGCCGAGGTGAATGGATCACCTGAGGTTGGGAGTTCGAGACCAGCCTGACCAACATGGAGAAACCCCATCTCTACTAAAAATACAAAATTACTGGGGCGTGGTGGTTCATGCCTATAATCCCAGCTGAGGCAGGAGAATTGCTTGTACCCAGGAGGTGGAGGTTGCGGTGAGCCGAGATGACGCCATTGGACTCCGGCCTGGGCAACAAGAGTGGAACAACCTCTCAAAAAAAAAAAAAAAAGGAAAAAAAAAAGAACTGTTCTGTCTGCCAGCAAGAGAAAAGAGACTGCCCATGGCTGTGAGGCACATTCCCTGGTGGGAAAGCTCTTAGCATAACTGGCAAGTGAGATGGATGCTGGCAGCCCTGGGGGGCTACATCTAGGTCTTGACAGGAATAGACGCTGTCTCTGGACTGGGCTTTGTTTGCATGGTAGAAGATGCAAATACTCAGAGTGCCATTAAAAAAAAAAAAAAAGGCCAGGCACGGTGGCTCATGCCTGTAATCCCAACACTTTGGGAGGCTGAGGTGGGCAGATCACCTGAGGTCAGGGGTTCAAGACCAACCTGGCAAACATGGTGACACCCCGTCACTACAAAAATACAAAAAAATTAGCCAATCCCAGCTACTCGGGAGGCTGAGGCAGAAGAATCACCTGAACCCAGGAGGCGGAGGTTGCAGTGAGCCGAGATCGTGCCATTGCACTCCAGCCTGGGAGACAGAGGGAGACTCTGTCTCAAAAAAAAAAAAGAAAAGAAAAAAAAGAAAAGAAAAAGGGGAAAAAAAAAACAGAACAGGAGATACTGCATTAATCTTGATGGCCAACGTCATTGCTTCAGAAAAAGGAGCACTCTATACAGCCCATAATGTCCAACAATGGGCAGACAGGCATCCACTTCAGAGTCATAATTTGGCACAGAAGTGGAAGAGGCAATTCAAACGCTGGTTGTCTAAAACGGGGGAGGTGAAAGCAGGAGGGCTGGTGATAGAGTTTGGATCTGTATCTCCGCCCAATTGTGTGTTGAATTGTAATCCCCAGTGTTGGAACTGGGGCCTGATGGGAGGCAGTTGGATCATGAGGGCAGGTTTCCCATGAATTGTTTAGCACTATTCTCTTTGGTATTGTACTCACGATAGTGAGTGTGTTCTCATGAGATCTGGTCGTTTAAAAGTATGTGGGGCCGGGCGTGGTGGCTCACGCCTGTAATCCCAGCACTTTGAAAGGCTGAGGTGGGTGGATCACCTGAGGTCAGGAGTTCAAGACCAGCCTGGCCAACATGGCAAAACCCAGTCTCTCATAAAAATACAAAAAGTAGCCAGCATGACGGCGGGCGCCTGTAATCCCAGCTACTTGGGAGGGTGAGGCAGGAGAATCACTTGAGCTCAGGAGGTAGAGGATGCAGTGAGCCAAGATCACACCATTGCTCTCCAGCTTGGATGACAGAGCAAGACTCTGTCTCAAAAAAAAAAAAAAAAAGTGCACGGCACCTCCCCCAGTCATTGTCTCTGGCTCCTGCTCCTGCCATGTAGGAGGACTGCTCCTCATTCATCTTCTGCCATGATTAGAAGCTTCCTGAGGCCTCACCAGGAGCAGAAGCTGCTATGCTTCTCGTACAGTCTGCAGAAGAGTGAGCCAATTCAACCTCTTTCCTTATAAATTACCCAATCCCATTGCTTCTCAGCCTTTTGGCTAAGATCAAGTATAAATTACCCAGTCTCAGATATTTCTTTATAGCAATGCAAGAATGAACTAATATAGCTGGCTTGCACGCTTTGTGAGTGTGCACTCATCCTTAGCATTAGTGGTCTAAAGGAGTGGCCTTCCAGATTTTTCTCCATTTTTTTGGTTGATCTGGGGAAGGGGGCGTGGGGAGGATGCTGACATGACCATGCAATTTTTTTTTTTTTTTTTCCTGAGATGGAGTCTTGCTCTGTCACCCAGGCTGGAGTGCAGTGGCACAATCTCAGCTCACTGCAACCTCTGCCTCCCGGGTTCAAGCAATTCTCCTCTCTCAGCCTCCCAAGTGGCTGGCATTACAGGCGCATGCCATCAGTCCCAGCTAATTTTTGTATTTTTAGTAGAGGTGGGGTTTCACCATGTTGGCCAGGTTGGTCTCAAACTCCTGACCTCATGATCCACACGCCTCAGCCTCCCAAAGTGCTGGGATTACAGGTGTGAACCACCGCACCCAGCCCAATGAACAGTTCTTGAATGAATGACACAATGAAGAAGACTACCAGAACAAGAGCAGATCAAAGGTGAATAAGTGAGTAGTAGCTTCTGATTAATCCTCATCAGCAACCAACATAACCCAGGGCTTATAGATTTCTCTATGTAATATGCTACACACATGTCTACGGAAAGAGAGAGAGAGAAGCACATCAGTCAACCAATTTTAAAAAGTTACTCTAAATGTGCTGTGTTGGTCTTGTATTACAATCTTTAGATTACAGTATTATTTTATTTCAAACAGGACTGGTAGAAACTTCTTCATGCCTTTTCAACCAAAGACCTTCAATACGGTGAAACCCCTAAAAATACAAAAAATTAGCCGGGTGTGGTGGCGGGCACCCGTAGTCCCAGCTACTTGGGAGGCTGAGGCAGGAGCATGGCATGAACCCGGGAGGTGTAGCTTGCAGTGAGCCGAAATTGCGCCACAGCACTCCGGCCTGGGCGACAGAGCGAGACTCCATCTCAAAAAAAAAAAAAAAAAAAAAAATTCACACTTTGTTCTTTGACCAAGTACAAACCTTACAAAGTTATGCAGTGAACACCATCTGACTTAGATTAATTGAAAAGTAACTGGATCAATCCCCCTTTACCCCAAGCATCTAAATGGAACAATTTGCTTTTCTTTTCTTCGGGATGCAGCATAATCCTCAAACTACAGAGCCACTTGGCAATGAAGCCAGGATCACAGTGCATTTGATAACTTAATGCAACTTTTTACTAGCACTTAAAACTCAGATATGAAATCTATACTTGATCTTTTCTGCTTGGAATTGGCCAAATTAGTGGTTCTGCCCCAGTATACAACAAAAGGCTCTCAGAAACACTCAGGGTCGCTAACCAATCAGAAGGACCAACAGAGCTCGACAAACAGACAAGGGGGTGGAAGTGCACCGCCTTCCACCCCACCCGCTTAGACAGCCTTGCAACTCCGCCCACTTTGAGGATGTGTAGGATGATCAAGGTAAGCATGATACCTATCTTAACTTCAAGGTAGAAATTAAGGCTTGAGGGCACTTATTTGGTGCCTTATTCAGTTAATTGGAAGATTATATGGTAATTTCACTGCTCATAATAATTAAACCTTTTTTTTTCACTTTAGGGATGATAATGACATTTGGAGACTAGCACTGTAAACCTCAAAAATCTATTTTGAAGATGACTGGATTTAGGAGCAGGACAGGTTTGCTGTACACTTGAATGAACATGCTTTGTTCCCCAAAGCAGCAAAAAAGCCAGAGTCTGGAAGTTTCTAAAACTTGAAGAAGACGCAAGTGGCAAATCCAAAAAGCTGTGCCTAGAGAACAGGTCAGTTGACCGGCTGTATCTATTCCAGGCTCCCGAGTGGCTCGGTGGAGGATTTCGGACAGGTCTCTCAGTTTCCCCTTCTTTGGTTTCACCTTAGAGTGAGAGAAAGTCACAGCATTTCTTCCTTTGTATTTCACAGAAACACAGGTGGCTGGATTGACAGTCAGCAAATGTAAAGAAATACAGGCGCCCACATGGCACTTATGCTGGCCTGGCCTCAAGCTTCATATTCATCCTTAATTGGTTCCCTGGCACACTCACCAGTGACCTGGCTCCACTTCACCAAATGGACCCAAGGGCCCACACTTTCTTAATTCTCCTGTAGACCCTTTATTCACTCCCCCTCATCCTTTCTTTGCTGGCGGTGGTCGCTTCTGACTGCCCGAATCCTTTTTTTTTTTTTTTTTTGAGATGTAGTCTCACTCTGTTGCCCAGGCTGGAGTGCTGTGGTGAGATCTCAGCTCACTGCAACCTCCGCCTCCCCAGTTCAAGTGATTCTCCTGCCTTGGCCTCCCGAGTAGCTGAGATTACAGGCATGTGCCACCACGCCTGGCTAATTTTTTTTTGTATTTTTAGTAGAGACATAGTTTCACCATGTTGGCCAGGCTGGTCTCTAACTCCCGACCTCAGATGATCCACCTGCCTTGGCCTCCCAAAGTGCTGGGATTACAGGCGTGAGCTACCGAGCCTGGCCTCAATCTTATGCTTACTATTCTTAATCTGTTGCCTCATTTTATAGCCACATCTCAGGTGGCAGCTGAGGGATTACATTCATCTGTCTCTGAGCCTCTGAGACTTCTATTTTCTTCACCACCCTCCAGGAATCCTTTTTTCTAGCTCTTGGGTGCTGGCCATCTCCTGGACGTTTAAGTTGAATATCTGACCACCAGTTCATTGGTGCATCTACAATCAATCCTCATTACCTGCAGATTCTGTAGCTGCAAATTCACCTACTTGATAATGTTTACTTATAGCCCCTAAATCAATCCCACCGGGGCTTTTCTGGATGTGCGCCGGGTGGTGAAGAGGTTGAATGGCTGATAAGCACTATCCCAGCAGAGTTCCATCGAGGAACCTCTGCCTTTTGGTTTCCGCTCTTATACCATAAATGAATGCCCTTTTCTTGGTCTTTTTGGGGTTTTTTTTGAGACAGAGTCTCACTCTGTCACCCAAGCTGGAGTGCAGTGGTGTGAGTGCAACCTCTGCCTCTCAGGTTCAAGTGATTCTCCTGCCTCAGCCTCCCGAGTAGCTGGGACTACAGGCATGTGCCACCACACACAGCTAATTTTTGTTTTTTAGTAGAGATGGGGTTTCGCCATATTGGCCAGGCTGGTCTCAAACTCCTGACCTCAGGTGATCCACCTGCCCTAGCCTTTCAAAGTGCTGGGATTACAGGTGTGAGCCACCACACCCAGCCTGGGTTGTCTTAAATGTAATGGAAACAGGAGAATTAGAATGGCCGAGAGAGAGAACTAGGACCCTGCATGAATGAATCAAGTTGACTTGGAGAGAAACTGTATTTATAGGAAAGTTAAAGCTCTGAGTTTGCAGGCCAAGCAGGGTGGGGGTGAGCAAAGCCATGGGAAGGAAAGCAGGGCTTCAAAAAACAGCTGGTCCTTCTTGATAGATGCAGGGAGGAAACAGGAAAGACCGGGGGCCATGCGGTGTTATTTGTAGCACTTGAATAGCTTGGCTCTTAGAGTCCCAAGGCCTCCAGCTAGTGATCCACAGATGCCATTAGAGGGCCAAGTGCTCGCTGCTCTCTCATTTGTCAACAAGAAGACCCGGTATGGCCCTGGCCTTAAGGACAAGTTAATCAATTGCTTATTGTACGTCACGAGATGAATGCTGGGAGAGAGGAAACACAGGGTGTGTAGGGAGAGGGCAAAAACGGCTACATCAGAGATGAGGAAGGCTTCCAGGTGGGAGGTGACACAAGGAGGTAACCAGGTGGAAATCACCCTCAAGTAGCAGAGACAGGTGTGCAAAGGCTCAGAGGGAGCTTCTCCAGGATCAGCAGAGCTCGATTGTTGGGTGTGAGGCTGTCACAGAGGCTGGAGAAATAAGCAGTGCCTTGCTAAGAAGTCTGAATTTTAACCTGAAGGGACATGGGAGCTACTGCAGGCTGGTAAGCAGAGGGGTGATGCTGGTTGGATTGCAATGCAGAGAAACCCTGGGTTGGGCTGTGTCTGATAGACTGGAGAGACCCTTGAAGAAATCAGGGTACAGGCAGTCCTCCGGAGTAGAAATGAGGAAGGTGTCAACTGAGACCACAGCAGTGGGGAAGAGTGTGAGAGGGATGGAAATTGAGATGAATTCATGGGTGTTTGGCCTGTGCAGTCACACAGGGCCCCATGCTGACAGGGACCTTGAGCTTGGCTTAATGCTCTGCTGTCACTGTCTTAAAATTCCTCATTTTATGTTTGAATGTATGTTTTGTTTTGTTTTGTTTTGTTTTGTTTTGTTTTGTTTTGAGAAAGAGTCTCACTCTGTCGCCCAGGCTGGAGTGCACTGGCACCATCTCAGCTCACTGCGACCGCCACCTCCCAGGCTCAAGTGATTCTCCTGCCTCAGCCTCCCAAGTAGCTGGGACTACAGCCACCTGCCACCACGCCCGGCTAATTTTTGTATTTTTAGTAGAGAGTGGGTTTCACCATATTGGCCAGGCTGGTCTTGAACTCCTGACCTCAAGTGATCTGCCCACCTCAGCCTCCCAAAGTGCTGGAATTACAGGCATGAGCCACTGCACCCAGTCTGAATCTATGTTTTATCAGTGAAATCCAATGGGGCAATAGAACATTTGCGTGGGCAGATGAGACACCAACAATATGAGTTACCCCCGTCCCTTGCCACCTCATTCCCCATGGCGTGTCTGCCGTGCCCTGAGCATAGAATCCTGGGGGGTCTGCAGTGCATGGGAGCCCAGCAAGGCTCCAAGTGAGCATAAGGGAAGCCTACTATGTCCACAACGGAGTCTGCGAGAGATGCTGACAGCACCAAGAGGTCGCACTTTCTTTTATTATAGAATCAGAATTGAAAACCAAGTCAATGGCATTCTAAGAAACAGGAACAAACAAGGAACTCTCTCCCAGCCTTTTCTACTTATCTGATTCCCTGTAGTAGCCAACCACTTCCACTGGAAATGATGACATAGGAGAGGCAAAGTTAGCAGAGTCAGAGTTATTTTTCCTTTCATTTCTTCCTTACACATCAGTAAGCCAAAGGTAGAGAGTGGTGGTAGATTGAAAAAGTGAAATAAAAACAGATGAATGGCTGGGTGTGGTGGTTCATGTCTGTAATCCCAGCATGTTGGGGGGCCGAGGTGGGTGGATCACAAGGTCAGGAGTTCGAGACCAGCCTGGCCAACATGGCGAAACCCTGTCTCTATTAAAAGTACAAAAATTAGGCAGGTGTGGTGGCAGGCTCCTGTAATCCTAGCTACTCAGGAGACTAAGGCAGGAGAATGGCCTGAACCCAGGAGGCGGAGGTTGCAGTGAGCCGAGATCTCACCACTACACTCCAGCCTGGGCAAGAGAACAAGACTCTGTCTCAGGGAGAAGAACAAAAGCAAACAAACAAACAAACAAAAACAGCTGAATTAGTTTCCTGCAATGTCTCACTGTTTCTGTGAGGCAAAAAAATCCCACATGCAAAGTACAAATTATGTCATTTCTGTGATTCCTCATTTGAGTCCAATGTTCCTATTTAAATCTGGCATTGCACAATGTAAAGAAGAACAGTATAATCCATGCTAGTAATTTAAAATGTTATTTTTTTTTTTTTGCTTGGACATTAAATAACAAATGAAAGCATCATGATAAATTGAGACGCAGAGACCACAGAAGAAAGAAAATGCTTTATATGGTAATACTTCAGCAGTGCTTTTCCTCTGATTTTTGAATGAGGGGGTCCATATTTTCATCTTGCACTGGGCCTTGCAAATTCTGCAGCTGGTCCTGACTGCCAAGAGAGGGATTTAGCCATAAAATCAGCAAGGGTTGGTCGTGGGGAAGTGGGGTACAGGAAGATAGAGGATTTAGGCATGGCTGCAGGGTTTTAAGCTGGTGGTACTGTTGGCTGGGAAATCTAGGAAATCCAGCATTGAGGGACCGGCTTTGTGAATCTGTTGTGGATGGGCTGAGCCTGCAGTGACCATGGGGCATCCTGCCTGGGAGGAGGGCGAACAGCAATTCATCAGCACAGGTGGTGACTGAGGCTCAGGAGGGGCTACCGAGGCGGGAACTGCGGGCAGGGATGCTGGGGAAGGCAGACATTTAGGAGATGAGACAACAGCTGGGTATGGTGGCTCACACCTGTAATCCCAGCTACTCAGGCTGAGACAGTAGGATAGCTCGAGGCCAGGAGTTCAAGATCAGCCTGCACAACATAGCGAGACCCCATTCCCCCCCCCCACAAAAAAAAATTAATAAAAAGTAAAAATACAAAGAAGAGATGGGACAGCAAAGAAGGCCTCATAAAGGAGATGGAGAGGAAGGGGACAGGAGGAAAGTGGAGAGGGAAGGTGACAGCCAGAAGCAGGCATGAGAGGTTCCCTAGAGTGGGGTTTTATTATCTCAAGTGACCATGAGCAAATTACTGAACCTGTCTGTGCTGCAGACATCATGGATAAAACGAAGATGCAATGAAGACAGTAACAACAGCACTTATGGGCGGGGCGGTTGTGGTGAAGATTAAATGAAGAGTTTATATGGGAAGAGCTCAGACTGCTGCTGTATTAAATGCCTCAGGCTGCTATAACAAGGTATCACAAGCTGGATGGCTTAGAACTGCAGAAATGCATTGTCTCACACCTGCAGGCCAGAAGGCTGAGATGAAGGCATTGTCAGGGCCATGCTCCCTCTGAAGATGCTAGGGAAGGATCTCCCTCCCAGCTTCCGCCAGCTCCTTAGCTTGTGGCAGCAGAAGTCCAGTCTTCACGTGGCCTTCTCCCTGTGTGCATCTGTGTCCAAAATTTCCCCTTTCCATATATCTATATCTATGTCTATATCTACACACACAAATACACATATATGTAGTGTGTATATATATATAGATATATATAATTTTATTTATTTATTTATTTATTTAGAGACAGAATCCTGCTCTGTCACCCAGGCTGGAGTGCAGTGGTGCAATCTTGGCTCACTGCCACTTCTGCCTCCCGGGTTCAAGCAATTATCCTTCCTCAGCCTCCCGAGTAGCTGGGACTACAGTTGCCCACAACTGTGCCCAGCTAATTTTTTTGTATTTTTAGTAGAGACAGATTTCACTATGTTGGGCAGTCTGGTCTTGAACTCCTGACCTCAAGTGATCCACTCGCCTTGGCCTCCCAAACTGCTAAGATTACAGGCGTGAGCCACCGTGCCTGGCCTCTTTTATTATTTTTTAATAGAGATGGGGATCTTGCTATGTTGGCCAGGTTGGTCTTGAACCTTGGCCTGAAGTGATCCTCCTGCCTCAGTCTCCCAAAATACTAGGATTACAGGCATGAGTCACAGTGCCCGGCCTATTTTATTTATTAACTTTTTAATAGAGATAGGAGTCACCCTATGTTGGCCAGGTTGGTCTTGAACCTTGGCCTCAAGTGATCCTCTTGCCTCAGCCTCCCAAAGTGCTAGGATTACAGGCATTAGCCACTGCACCTGGCCAATTTCCCCTGTCCATAAGGACACCCATTATACTGGATAAAGTCCACTCTATCAACCTGATTTTAACTTGACTACCTTTGTAATGACTATCTCCAAATAAGTCACATTTTGAGGTACTGGGGATCAGGACTCCAAGAAGTCTTTTGTGGGAGAGGGGATGCAATTCAACCCACAACAGTGCCCTGCTCTGTGAAATGTTCACCTTTATGAATAAGACGACTTCCACGAGTTGTTTTCTTCAAAGGTACGAGGAAGAGACCAGTGAGGGACAACCTGAGGGTGGGGAACCTAAATTTGT
Organism: Homo sapiens; assembly: GCF_000001405.40. NCBI lineage: Eukaryota > Metazoa > Chordata > Mammalia > Primates > Hominidae > Homo > Homo sapiens. Next base: position 55,739 of record NW_021159989.1, read on the forward strand.
TGTGGCCACAATCTCCGCAACAACCTGATGTTTCTCCCACAGCACTTAGCAGCCCAGGTGAAGGTAAATACAAGAAGGAGAGGGAACAAAGATGAGGGAGTGACACATCCTGATAACGTGCCAAAGACAACCACAGGCAGAAGTACTGATGGCAGCGAGGCAGACGGGGAACCCTGCTCATCGCTCTGCCTGCCTCACTTTTGTTCAGGGGCCACCAGGAGGCCTCAGGTCCCAGGTGGACAGAAATCACCACGATCCCCTCTTGGCCCCAACCAACATAAGCACAGGAGGCAAACCAACTTTTTATCATTTATTAAAACAAATAAGAGGTTAATCTGTGGGTAAAAAGGCCTTGTTTGCCAGCAGCTCAGGGGATGCCTTCAAGCTGACAGGCGCTAGTGCACTTTGAAGTAGGAAGCATCAAATGGGTTCTGGAGATAAGCAATAGATAAACAACGGGAGTTACCAGAAGTGTCAAGCCAGGCATCACCTTAACAAAAATTATTCCTGGAGCTATTGTGGAAGTCATTAATCCCAAGAGAAAAGACAGAGGTGGGCGTGGTGGCTCATGCCTGTCATCTCAACATTTTGGGAGGCCGAGGTGGGAGGATCCCTTGAAGCCAAGAGTCCAAGATCAGCCTGGGCAACAAAGTGAGACCCCGTCTCTACAATAACTAAACTAAATAAAATAAATTAGCCAGGTGCAGTGGTGCACACCTGTAGTCCCAGCTACCCAGGAGGCTAAGGCAGGAGGATTGCTTGAGCCCAGGAGGTCAAGGCTGCAGTGACCTATGATCACATCACTGCACTCCCGCCTGGGCAACAGAGCAAGGCCCTGTCTCTAAAAATAAAAGAAGAGAAGACAGATGAAGCAAAGTGGGCCAAAACTTAGATAAAGGGAATTGTTCTGTTTTAGATGAAGGATTGCGAAACAAAATTTTCAAAAGCAGCAATGAAAGACCTGTCTACCACAGTGTAGCCCTCAGCAAAACCACAAGTGGGCAGACTCTGACTCTCCCATACCCCTCTGGCTAACCTCAAACCCCTTCTAGATAGAATGTTCTCCTTCCTCTTCATCCTAATGCCAGGAACAACTTTGGTGGTGCGTTCCCCACACCTGCCCCCTTTGCCAAAGCTCCAGGTTCCAGTGCCTTCCTTTCTTTCTTCTCTTCTGCTTTAAGGCTTGCTTACCCTGAGTTCAAGACCCTTACAGCCTTGTTAGATAAATGGCTACGTAAGATGATCGGTTAATCAGAGCGAGCATGGCTGATGATGGCTTCTGCAATATAATGCAATGATCCTGCGCCCACCTTCACTGAACGATCAACATTCACTTTGGTGTAATGGGGTAAACCATCAGCATGTCCCTCCTGATGCGATGCACAGACAACATGACACCATTGCTGTGATAGTCCCACCCCAAATGCATAAGAATATCACCGCCAAGAAACATCAGCCAAGTCCAAAGTAAGGGACATTCTATCAAATAACCGTCTTGCGTTCTTCAAGAATGCCAATACTATGAAAGATAAAGAAAAACTGAGGAGCTGTTCCTGGTTGAAAGGGACCTACAGAGACACAACAACTGAAAATAATGCATGATCTGGGATGATCGTTTGCTCCAATGTACATCATTGGGTTAACTGGCGAAATCTGAATGAGGTCCATACATTAGAAAACCGTATTGTAGCAGGGTTAGTTTCCTGATTTTGATCATTGCATTGGTTAGATAAGAGAAAGTCCTTGTTATTAAGGAATACACAGGAATATTTAGGGGTAAAGGATAACTCATCTGCCACTTAGAAAATAATAAAGCAAATGGGGTAAAATGGTAGCACTGGGGAATCTCAGCGAAGGGTATAACGGATGTCTTTGTACTATTCTTGCAACGCTTCCGTGTCTGGAAAAATAATAATAAATATTACCTATTTAATAACTAAATGAATGAAAAAGTGTGCAATGTTTCTGCAGGTGTCGACCTTGGCAATGCAATAGGACCATCTCAGAAGCTCTGCATGAATATCAGTGCCCAGGCCCCAACCCAGAGATTCATAGTCAGTTAGCTGGGGGTGAATCTCCAGACATCGGCATGTGTGAAACACACCCCAAGGTCATTCTAGTGTGAATCCAGAAGAATAAGCAGCCAGCTTAGCCTTTAGTGTCATTGGGTTGACAGGAAAGTTCTAGGCTGGGGACTTTCTGAGCCCCCATGTCTGCTTGTTTTGAGATCTGATCTTGGGGGCAGCATGGTGACTCAAAACAGGAGCACAGTTGTGGGTCCAGTCTTGGTCCTTCCACTAATAAGATGGGAGACGTTGGGTCAGATCCCTTGCCTGTGCCAAGCCTGGGTTTTCTCAGCTGTGGAATGAGGTTAACCAGGAAGTGCCTCAGAGGCCAATATGCATTCAAGGAAGAAGATGCCCAGCTCAGTAACTGATATGGTGTGGCTGTGTCCCCACCAAAATCACTAATTGTAGTTCCCATAATCACCACATGCTGTGGGAGGGCCCTAGTTGGAGGTAACTAAATCATGGGCTGGGTCTTTCCCCAGCTGTTCCCATGGCATTGAATAAGTCTCACAAGATCTAATTCTTTTTTTTTCCTTTTTTGAGACCGAGTCTCACTCTGTTGCCCAGGCTGGAGTGCAGTGGCATGATCTCAGCTCACAGAAAGCTCTGCCTCCTGGATTTAAGCAATTTTAATGCCTCAGTCTCCCAAGAATCTGGGACAACAGGCATGAGCCATCACGCCTGGCTAATTTTTGTATTTTTATTAGGGATGTGGTTTCAACATGTTGGTCAGGCTGGTCTCAAACTCCTGATCTCAGGTGATCCACCCACCTTGGCTTTCCAAAGTGCTGTGATTAGAGATGTGAGTCACTGTGCCCTGCCTGATCTAATGGTTTTATAAAGGGGAGCTCCCCTGCACAACTCTCTTGCCTGCTGCCATGTAAGATGTGATTTTGCTTCTTCTCCACCTTCTGCCATAATCATGAGGCCTCCCCTGTCATATGGATCTGTGAGTCCATGAAACCTCTTTTTCTTTATAAATTACCCAGCCTCAGGTATGTCTTTATTAGCAGAGTGAGAATGGATTAATACAGTAATCCTTACATGCCCAGACCCTAAAATGGAGTTGCCACAGCATGGCAGTCTGAAATCCTTGTGATGTTCAGCTGGCAGAAGGGAATTTGGATGAGTAGGGCTGGCCAACTTCTGGTATTGCTGGTGGGTCCTGTCATTGTGTGGGTGGCTCCTTGCACCCCTGGCCCTTCATAGGACTAAATTCTGGGAGGGTTCTTGTGAAAGGGGCTAGAGAAGGCAAGAGGACACCAATCTTCTTCCAGGCAGTAGGAAGGCAAGCTGGAGAGGCCAAGCTCCCAAGTAAACTGAGGCACTTCCACTGTCCCCTTTGTGAGGCATGCTTGACCTGGGTTTTATGGAAAGAAAGTGCCCTCACCAGAGGGTGCTAAACAAGGCCCCAGGCTCCACACCTGATCCCAGGTGCTGCCCTCTGCCCTGCCCTAGACTCACTTAAAGCTGTATTGCCCAGAGTCATGGCCTCAGGCCACACGTGGCTACTGGGCACTTGAGATGTGGCCATCTCAATTGAGATATGCTGTTAGTGTAAAATATACACTAGATTTCCAAGCCTTCATAAGCAAAAAAAAAAAAAAAAAAAAAAAAAAAAGAACATACAATATCCATTAAGAATTTTTAAGTATTCATTAATGTTGAAATAATAATATTTTGAATTTATTGGTTAAAGTTTACTAGGAGAATTCATTTCACCCCTTTTACTTTTTCTAATGTGGTGACTAAATTATTTAATATTACACATGTGGATTACTTTATACTTCTATTGGACAGCTCTCTTCTAAAGTCTGCACATTGTCCTTTTGTGGCTTATTTCCTTGATAATTTTATTAAAATTAAATTGAAGGGCCAGGTGCAGTGACTAACACCTGTAATCTCAGCATTTTGGGAGGCCGAGGCAGGTGGATCACCTGAGGTCAGGAGTTCGAGACCAGCCCGGCCAACATGGTGAAACCCTGTCTCTACTTAAAAATACAAAAATTAGCCAGGCTTAGGGGTGCGTGACTATAATTCCAGCTACGCGGGAGGCTGAGGTAGGAGAATTTCTTGAATCCTGGAGTCAGAAGTAGCAGTGAGCCGAGATCACGCCACTGCACTCCAGCCTGGGGGACAAGAGTGAAAATCCATCTCTAAATAAATAAATAGAAAAATAAAATTGAGGGCCGGGCACGGTGACTCATGCCTATAATCCTAGCATTTTGGGAGGCCAAGGCAGGAGGATTACCTGAGGTCAGGAGTTCGAGACCAGCCTGGCCAACATGGTGAAATCCCGTCTCTACTAAAAATACAAAAATTAGCTGGGCTTTGTTGTGGGTGCCTGAAATCCCAACTACTCCGGAGGCTGAGGCAGGAGAATCACTTGAACCCGGGAGGCGAGGTTGCAGTGAGCTGAGATAGCACCAAGGCGCTCCAGCCTGGGCGACAGAGGGAGACCCTGTCTCAAAAAATAAAGAAAGCAATAAAAATAAATTGAGGAAGGATTGAGCATGCAAAATAGAATCAGCTTTGGACCTTGAATACCCTGCAGTGAGAATTCCCCTGTGGTTCTCAGGCTTCTGTAATTCCAGCAAATACACTCTTCCTTCAGGTTCACTAAAATGCAGATATTGTAAGATAATGCTCATTTCTCACAGCTTGCTTCAATAATAATGATCGTCATAGTAATTTACAACTTAATAGTCAACACTGCCTTTTTAACCCAGTCTGTGAGACTGAATAGTAAACGTGACATTCTTTGAAGTAAAGCTCTCAATTAATACACCAGACTGCATAAACTCCAATAACTTACCTTTCCACGGAAAGAGAATATATGGGTATTCTCTCTGAAGACAAATGGTGGAGAGTAGACTCTCATCAAAGACCCTCTGGCAGTAATGAGTTGCATTCCAGAAGGTTCCAGAAGGTTCTGTGGAAGGCTGCAGTTTGGGATTGGTTCTCAGGTGTCTTTCTAACTGCTTTCTAAGGATGAAGACGGCCGGGCACGGTGGCTCACGCCTATAATCCCAGCACTTTGGGAGGCCAAGACGGGCGGATCACGAGGTCAGGAGATCGAGACCATCCTGGCTAACACAGGGAAACCTCGTCTCTACTAAAAATACAAAAAATTAGCCAGGCGTGGTGGTTGGCGCCTGTAGTCCCAGCTCCTCCAGAGGCTGAGGCAGGAGAATGGCATGAACCCGGGAGGCGGGGCTTGCAGTGAGCCGAGATCGCACCACTGCACTCCAGCCTGGGTGACAGAGTGAGACTCCGTCTCAAAAAAAAAAAGGATGAAAACTCCTGGTTCGTGCTTTAGCTACATCCACAGGAGCAACAGACTAAGACATTCTTCCACACAATAACAGACCCAGGCAGTGCAGAGCCATGTGGGTCTTGTCTGTCCTGTTGTCCACAGTCTGGTTTTATCTTAGACCTAGCCTGGTGCAATCCATGTTGTGTATTGGCACTCCACTTAAGTTTCCTGTTTGTAAAAAGCCCCTTTCATTCGGTGATTCCTCAGGGCTTTAGGGGAACTTTCTGGAAACCAGGAAGAAGGAAGTAAAGGTTGTTTTACTGAGGATAGGTGATGTTGGGCGCGGGACCCAAATGAGTGGTTTGAGCAGAAAGTAGCCTCCACGCTGGACTAATGCTTGGCAACATTATGCGAAAATTTGGGGAAGCCGGGAGAGGAGAGGGCAGAGTTTCTTTCCCAGCCAGCCAGGGGGTCCAGGCAGTTTTGATCCTAGGATGTCTCTCTGTGCATTCCCAAGTGATTGCAAGGCTTCTTCTTGTCATCGTCTGGATTCCCCAAGCGTCCTTCTTTTCCTGGAGCCTCTGAGTCCTCTATTCCTGAGGCCTTTCTTCAGCCCTCCCAATAGCCCTGCCATGATTTCATTGCAGGGCTGTGACCGTCTATGACAAGCCGGCATCTTTCTTTAAAGAGACACCTCTGGACCTGCAGCACCGGCTCTTCATGAAGCTGGGCGGCACGCACTCTCCATTCAGGGCCCGGTAGGCCTGCCATCCTCAGCTGCCTTCTCTCCTGCTCGCCACTGCCCTGGCCTCTCCCCTTCTCACTGCAGAACTGGGAACCCACTCATCCAGGGGTTGGCAAACTAAGGCTACAGGCCAGTCTCCTGCTTTTGTAAATCAAGTTTTATTGGGACACAACACACTCATTGCCTTCTGAGTTGTCTACAGCCGCCTTTGAGCTACAATAGCAGAATTGCGTTTTGCAACAGAGAACCTGTGGCCCGCAAAGCCTGAAGTATTTACTCTCTGGCCTTTTAGGAAATGTTTGTGGACCCCTGCACTGTCTTACTCTCCTGCCAGTGGGTTCCCAGGCCTGCGGCAGGATCTGTGGACCTGTGTGTCCCCTGGGGTGTCTCACGGGGCTAAGGAGGGGACCTTTCTGCAGGTCCACACACCCTGAGGTGGGCACCTGGGTAAGCTGGGGTGGTGTGGGAGGGCGTCCTAGCATGCTCATCTTGAGTCCAGGGGATGATAAGACAGTAAGTCCCATGGAGAAAAGGAATGAGTCAGTCTTGTTTGCTGTTGTAACCTTAGCACCCAGCAACAATATTAGAGAAAGCAAGCCCAGGCCCCGGATGGCAGGGATGGCCTGGTGCTGCTGATGTGGCTGGCCACCCCAACCGTTGGGAGTCTGCAGGCCTCGCCATGGCAAGAGATGCCCGTTCTGGGTCCTGGGCCTGCTCTGTGGCCTCTCACAGGGTTTTTTTCTGCTCCTTCATCTCAGAACCTGAGGACCCAGCCACAGAGCGGTTGGCCTTCACAGAGCGGGATGCTGGGAGTAGGCTGGTGACACGTCTCCACGAGCGGCCAGCTCTGCTGGTCAGCAGCACAAGCTGGACAGGTCTGCATGACCCCTGGGGCACTTGGGGTTGGTGTGAAGGGCACCTGGCCAACCTGTGTTCTCCTCACCCCTGCCAGTCCTTCATGCCCCCACCCCGCCATGGCCTCAATGAGAAGGGGAGGGCGTGTGAGCTGGAAGAGTGCTGTCTAGAAACAGGCCCCTGATATTGAATTCTCTTCTCATAGAGGACGAAGACTTCTCTGTCCTGCTGGCAGCTTTAGAAAGTAGTTGTGTGGCTGCGGTGAGGAGCGCTGGGCTTGTCGGGGCCACTGAACTGTGAGCTGCTTGCCTGGCCTGCAACATGTTCCTGTCCCGGGCTACTGGGTGGGGCAGCCTGGGGACAGTAGGGGTGGTGGAGGTGGGCCTCCCTGAATCCCCATTTGGGTCATTGAGTGACCAGGCCCTCAGGCTGAAATGCCCCCTCCAGGAGAGTATCTCACAGAGGCTGGGGGACTCCCTGCCAGAGCAGTGCACTTTCTCCACCTGACCAGGTGACTCTGGCTATTGTTTATTCAAAAATTTTTTTCTGAATGGGGATGGTGGCTCACACTTGTAATCCTAGAACTCTGGGAGGCTGAGGCAGGCAGATCACCTGAGGTCAGGAGTTCGAGACCAACCTGGCCAACATGGTGAAAACTGTCTCTACTAAAAATACAAAAATTAGCTAGGTATGGTGGTGGGCGCTTGTAATCCCAGCTACTTGGGAGGCTGATGCACGAGAATTAGTTGAACCCGGGAGGCAGAGGTTGCAGTGAGCTGAGATCACACCATTGCATTCCAGCCTAGGTGACAGAGCAAGAGTCTGTCAGAAAGAAAAAAAAAAAATCTATCAGAAATTCCATGTAGAATTGTTTCTTTTTTAAACACAGAGTTTGAACAACTGACTCTTCACGGACACAACTTTCCTTCTCTCGTCTGTGTGATAACAGGTACCGCCTGGGACCCTGGGTGTCTGTTTCGTTGGGGGATGGCAGAGGGGGAGGGGCACGCAGCCTTTACCCTGTGCTTCCCACGATCTTGTCTCCTTAATCCTCACTGCAGCTCTCTGCCATAGGGTCTTATACTGCTTGACATGTGGGAAACTGAGGCTCAGAGGGTTTCACAGCAGGGCAGGGAGCCCAGATTTGAATCTGTAGATACCAAGCTTTCTACTTTTTCAGTAGTTTCCAAGCATCTTTTTTTTTGTTGTTACGTCATTGGTGTCTTTTTTTTTTTTTTTTTGAGACAAAGTCTCTGTCGCCCAGGCTGGGGTGCAGTGGTGCGATCTCAGCTCACTGCAACCTCCGCATCTCACATTCAAGCAATTCTCATGCCTCAGCCTCCCGAGTAGCTGGGACTACAGTTGCCCACCACATCCAGCTTATTTTTGTATTTTTAGTAGAAACAGGTTTTCACCATGTTGGCCAGGCTGGTCTTGAACTCCTGACCTCAGGTTATCCACCCGCCTTGGCCTCCCAATATGCTGGAATTTTAGATATGAACCACTGTGCCCGGCCATGTCATTGGTGCCTTAACCAAGCCTTTTTTAATTTTTCAAACGGAAGAGCCCCTGTCCCACAGTTACTGCTGCTGAGCCCTTTCAAGATGACTCAGTGAAGAGGGAGAAAAGTGGAAGCGGTGTGGGAAGAAGCGGGGTCTGGGCCAGCTGCTGGTCCTGCTCTCCTCCCTCCTCTGGCCTCTAGGCTTCCAGGAGTGGTTCGGAATCCGCGCCATGTGCTCTGGGGGCTGTGGCAGGGCAGGGGCAGCTTGGAACCTGCGCCATGTGCTCTGAGGGCTGTGCCAGGGCAGGGAGATTCCTCGTGTACCCTGCGCACAACACGGACAGAAGGCTGGGTCCACCCAGTGGGCGGTCGGGTGCCAGGCTAGTGCTTACCCCGCCTTGTTTGCAGCCCGAGGCCAGCTGGTTGCAGGTGCAGGGCTATGTGTCAGGGGTCAGGGTGCACACACCCCTGCAGGTCTCGGGGCTCCTGGGTTGCTCCTGGAAGGGCCCAGATAGGGCCTGACTGGAGCTGCTGAGGGGTGGAGCTTCTGGGAAAGGGATCCCTCCTAGCGGGGAGTGTCTTGGGCCTGGGGCCATGTGGCAGGGACAGAGACGGGTCCATGGCAGTGTCTGCTCTTCTCTGTGAAGGCAAAGGGCCTCTGAGGGAGTATTACAGCCGCCTCATCTACCAGAAGCATTTCCAGCACATCCAGGTCTGCACCCCCTGGCTGGAGGGCCGAGGACTACCCCCGCTTCTAGGTGAGAGGCCAGCAGGAGGCTCAGGGAGGAGGCGGGGCCTTAAGCAGGGGGAGCAGGGGTGGGCGGGATGTACATTTTCTGAAAAGGTGGCTCTGGAGGCCACTTGCGGACAGGACCTGGGCTCTGGCTGAACTCCCGGGTGGAGGGTACTTCCTGGTATGCCAGCCCCTCCCTGCCAGGTGGCCCCAGAGGCCCTTTACCAAGGGGTTTGAGGAGGCCACGTCCTTTCAGTCGGCCACGCCCTCCATTCAGTCCTCTTCCTTCCTGCAGGAGGGCTGTGCCTGGGGTTGGGGCCACTGTTGCCCAGGTGTGGGAGGGCAGTGGCTTTGGGAGGTACAGGGACGATGTGTCAAACAGCATCGCCTCTCCCAGTTAGATGGTTCTCCTTTGCCTCCGTCTCTTTCCCCGTTGATTTCTCCAAGTGGGGAGTCGTGGCTTGGTCCTGATGGGTCTCTAGAGCCGCATCTTCCAGCTTCGAGTGAGCAGAGCAGTTGGAGGCTGAGGGCCTTTTCCTGGCAGGATTCTCCAGCTAGTCTTTGTTTTAGATAGTCTTGTTCCGTTGCCTAGGCTGGAGTGCATGATCTCAGTTCATGCAAACTCCGCCTCCTGAGTTCAAGCGATTCTTCCACTTCAGCCTCCCAAGTAGATTACAGGATTACAGGAGCCCGCCACAACACCTGGCTTATTTTTGTATTTTTAGTAGTGACAGGGTTTCACCATGTTGGCCAGGCTGGTCTTGAACTCCTGACCTCAAGTGATCCTCTTGCCTTGGCCTCTCTAAGTGCTGGGATTCCAGGCATGACCCATCATGTCTGGCCCCAGCTAGTCTTTAGAAATGTTAAGCTATTTGGCTTTATTTTCACACTGACAGCTGGTTTGTGGTGGGTGTGCTGTGGTTTATTATTATTATTATTATTATTATTATTATTATTATTATTTTGAGATGTAGTTTCGCTCTTGTAGCCCAGGCTGGAGTGCAATGGCGCGATCTTGGCTCACTGCAACCTCTGCCTTTCCGGGTTCAAGCGATTCTCCTGCCTCAGCCTCCTGAGTAGCTGGGATTACAGGTACCTGCCATGACGCTTCGCTAATTTTGTATTTTTTTTAGTAGAGATGGTGTTTCACTATGTTGGCCAGGCTGGTCTTGAACTCCTGACCTCAGGTGATCCACCCACCTTGGCCTCCCAAAATGCTGGGATTACAGGCGGGAGGTGAACCTGGGAGGTGGAGGTTGCAGTGAGCTGAGATTGTGCCACTGCACTCCAGCCTGGGTGACAGAGTGAGACTCTGTTTCAAAACAAAACAAAACAAAACAACAACAACAACAAAAGACAAATTGTGGTTATGTATAAGAAGTGTCAGCTTACATTTTCAGATGTCCCAGCCAGGCCGTGTGGCTGCTTGGCCAGCTTAAGCCACTTGTGCTTGGGGCTGTCGGGGGCTTTATCCAATTCTCACTCCCCTCGGGGGATGTTGTCTCACTGTGCTGGGAGGATTTGTGTTCCCAGGGCACAGACCAGCGCTCTGACCCACCCCTCTTGCCTAGCAGGGTCGGCGGACCTGGGTGTCTGTCTGCACACGTCCTCCAGTGGCCTGGACCTGCCCATGAAGGTGGTGGACATGTTCAGGAGCTGTTTGCCTGCGTGTGCCGTGAACTTCAAGTGGTAGGAGCAGAACCCGAATCTTTCTGGGGATAGCTTCACAGATCCACCGCTGAGGGGGAAGCAGTGCAGAGTGAGCTGCTCACAGTGAGGCCCTGCCCCTCGGTCAGTCTAGCACACACTGGAGGCCATGAGGAGGAGCCCTGCGGTTACTGTGCCTGGGCTGAGCCTCACTGAAGTAGTTGCTTCCATTTAGAACTCATGTTATATTTAGGTTGGTAGAAAAGTAATCACCATTTTTCCATTAAAAATGGCAATTACTCTTTCACCAACCTAATATAAAAAAAAAGCACCTTAAATACTAGAACTCCACTCGGGGCTTTTGCTCCTAGAGTAGAATTGGCAGGAATTGCCTGCAGGCTTACATGGTTTTCTTTGTTTTTCTCTCCCACCATGTCCCTTTTGGTCAACCTCACGTGCTGGGTTTGAATCAGTTAAATGAGTGTCATGCTGTGGCCTCACTTCACCCAGCATAGACAAGTGTTTGGAAGGGTGGCGTTAGAGGAGATTCTAGAAGCAGTAGCCCCAGCACAAGTTGAGCCCTTGGCCCCTGCTCAGGAGACGGCCTCTGGATGGGATTCAGGGATGCGAGCCCCTCATGTGAGCTGAGCTCAGGGAATGTCGGGATCAAATCTGGTGTCCTAGAAAAGTCATCTTTTATGTGCTGAACCAGTCCCCAGGGGGTTGCATTTACTTGTTCCATGGCCATGGAATTTAGAAAAACATGCAAAAATAATTCTTCAGTCCTTGAAGAGCATCCAGCACAGAAGGTACAAACCCTCCTTAAGGCTCCCTCCTCAAATCGGTTTGGCCATTTTGATGTGCACCCCCGCCAGGCCTTTATACCCTTCAGATGCCAAATCTAAGAACCAGCTCCCAGAAACCACACCCCCTGTTCCAACCCCCAGCCTGGCTTGAGCGTGGGGTGGGTGGGAGCCCAGCTGGGCACCCCAGGGGTCTGGTGTCTTCTCCAGGAAGCTCTCGGGTTCCCTTGGTTCTCTCTGCAGTTTACATGAGCTGGTGAAACATGAAGAAAATGGCCTGGTCTTTGAGGACTCAGAGGAACTGGCAGCTCAGCTGCAGGTAGCCATGTCTGCCACCACGCCAGGGTGGGCAGGGTTCTGGAGACTGGCACCGAGCCACACTCCCTGATCCCTGCTTCCCACAGCCAGGGTGGGACCATGGGGGGTCTGGTGGAAAAGCTAGGGAGGGAGCAGAAGTCACAGAGGCTGGCCTACTCTGCTGTCCTGTTTCAGTACAGTAGGCTCGGGAAAGTTAGGACACAACGCCACCTGCCCTCTGGATTTATGGAGCTGACACGCCACAAATGATGCTGGATCCAGGTGGGCCAGGCTGCAGTTTAGGAAGTGATCAGGATCAGGTAGGTGCATGGGCTAAGGGAACTTCTGGGACCAGCCTTGAAAGATGGGTGGAATTCTGCAAAGGTTACTTGTTTCTTATTGCAAAAAGTAATACATCATTCTTGTCAACAGAATGATTGGGAGGATTTTCAGTAAAGGTCCAGGTCAGAAGTCATTTAGACTGGGTCCCCCAGTCTCTGTCAGAACCATGGTACTCTGTTGTGGTGTGAAAGTAGCCACAGATCATCTGTAGATTAAGGGGTGTGGCTTTCTTCCAATAAAGCTTTATTTACAAACACAGGCTGTGGGCTGGATTTGGCCTGCAGGCTGTAGTTTGTGATCCTTGATTCAGAGAGTTTAGCAAGGCTGAAAAGAACACCCACTCCCCCTTGTTACCCACAGATGGGTGGGACTGTGTTGGCCAGAGGCCGAGAGGAGGGTGCTCACAGGGGAACGTACAGCATGTAGAGGCCGGAAGGTGCTCCAGGGCACCAAGTGTGGGAAAGTGGGACATACGGGGAAGTTTCCAGAAAGCATGATGTCAAGTGGGAGGCGGAGCGCTGCTGGGGTGTGAAGGGTCTCAAGTCCAAGTGAGGGAGTTAGGGACTTGGGAGGGGTTGTTGTTGGGTCGGGGACCTGGGGTCAGCCAGGTGGTGACCTGGGATGGGGTGGGGACAGGCAATGAGGTAAGCTCTGCTCTTTAGTATTTTGCAGATGCTTTTCTCAAACTTTCCTGATCCTGCAGGCAAGCTAAACCAGTTCCGGAAGAACCTGCAGGAGTCGCAGCAGCTCTGATGGGATGAGAGCTGGGTGCAGACTGTGCTCCCTTTGGTTATGGACACATAACTCCTGGGCCAGAGGCTAAAACCCCAGGGCCCCTGCTGTCCTTCCCGCAGCTTCTTGGAGTGTCAGGGCAAACCCTTTCGAGCAGCGCCTCCCAGTGGCCAGAAGCTGAAATGACGGCAGTGGTGCCACCTGGTGAATGACCCGGGAAGCTGTGGTTGGCCCTGATTTCTTCTTTGGAGTCTCTGAAACGCTTCCTGTCTTTTGTTCTTCATGCCCCGTGCCCCTGTTAGCGTATTACTGTTCTCTGACTTCCCTGTGACCTCTGCAGTACTCCTCATCCTGCATTTGGTCTCCAGGTGTCACCTTTCTGCCGTGTTCCTAACACTTTGATCCCTGTCTTGAAAAAAGCACCTGCTGCACCATAGGCTCAGGGATGTGGCAGCTGCAGTGGGCTTGGCTTTGTGAGGAACCGAGTGTGTCCAGGGATGTGACAGCTGCAGCGGGCTTGGCTTTGTGAGGAACCGAGTGTGTCCAGGGATGTGGCAGCTGCAGTGGGCTTGGCTTTCTGAGGAACCAAGTGTGTCCACATTGGGGGAACGTCATACTTGATACACACTTTTTTATCTGCACAAAGCCAGAATTTTCATGTCTGATATATGGTGATTTTCGTAAGAACCAGAACTGCTGGCAGAAAGGGGGCACCCACACGCTTAGATAGCCGATGTCTTATTAGAGGGCAGTTTGTGGTTTCTGATTTGGAATTTAACATTCTCCAAACATTCCAGTACAATGAAAGTTTTATCCGCTTTCCCATATAAAAATTCTTCCCATGAGATTGACTTGATTCTCACAATCCCGTTGGAGTCGTGTGTGAGTCCTACAGTGTGAGGTTCAGCATTGCCATCTCCAAGTGCTCTCCATAGGGAAACAGTTTCTGGTCATGATGAGCTTCCGCTTCCCATATGATCCCAGCCCGGCCTGGAAACAGAGCACGTGCTTGAGGATGGCGGTGTTTGGGGACAGGACGTGAGCGTTTTGTGTGGGGCTGCTAGGACAGGCCTGGTGGGGTAGGGGGTGTCTAAGTCAGTTTACTTGTTTCACAGGTTCCCAGGCCCACCCAGGTACCTAGAATTGGCCACCAGGATGGGACTAGAAATCTGGTTTTGCATAGAAATGGCTAGCAGCAGGCACCATGCCACTGTCCACTCTCTGCCCGCGTCTGCCCCAGCACTTGGCACAGCAGGACAGAAGCAGAGATCTGAACCCACATCTACCTGGCTGCTCAGTCAACTCACTCTTCACAAAGCTTAGAAAGTGGCCGGGCACAGTGGCTTATGCCTGTAATCCCAAAACTTTGAGAGGCCTATGCGGGCGGATCACTTGTCTTCAGGAGTTCGAGACCAGCCTGGCCAACATGGTGAAACCCCATCTCTACGAAAATACAAAAATTAGCCAGGCACGATGGCGGGTGCCTGTAATCCCAGCTACTTGGGAGGCTGAGGCGGGAGAACTGCTTCAACCCAGGAGGCGGAGGTTGCAGTGAGCCGAGATTGTGCCACTGCACTCCAGCCTGAGTGACAGAGTGAGACTCCATCTCAAAACACACACACACACACACACACACACACACACACACACACACACAGCTTAGAAGGGGCTGGTGTTCTCATAAGCACAGATGTCTGAACAGCCATTAGCCAGGATGATTCTTTTTTTTTTTTTTTTTTTTTTTGCGATACGATGTTGTTCTGTCACCCAGACTGGAGTGCAGCGGCACAGTCATTGCTCACTAAAGCCTCGACTCCTGGGCTCTAGCAATCCTCCCACTTCCTGAGTAGCTGGGATGACAGATGCATGCCACCATGCCAGTAATTTTTTTATTTTGTAGAGATGGGGTCCTGAACGCATGGCCTCAATCGATGCTCCTTCCTCAGCCTCTTTTATTATTATTTTTTAGATGGAGTTTTACTCTGTTCCCCAGGCTGGAGTGCAGTGGTGCAATCTCAGCTCACTGCAACGCCTCCCAGGTTCAAGTGATTCTCCTGCCTCAGCCTCCCGAGTAGCTGGTATTATAGGCGTGCACCACCACGCCTGGCTAATTTTTGTGTTTTTAGTAGAGATAGGGTTTCACTGTGTTGGCCAGGCTGGTCTTGAACTCTTGACCTCAGGTGATCTGCTCACCTCAGCCTCCCAAAGCCTCAGCCTCTTACAGTGTTGGGATTACAGGCATGAGACACTGTGACCCGGGATGATTTTCAGTCACTTTTTTTGTTACAAGTGGAAAATGCGTATTCATAAAAATGACGTAGTACAGATATGAACGTGTAGAAATCTCTATAATCCTGCCATCCAAGGATGGCACCTGTTAACGTGTATATCAGGGATGTCCAATCTTTTGGCCTCCCTGCGCCACATTGGAAGAAGAAGAATCGCCTTGGGCCACACATAAAATACACTAAAGCTAGAATAGCTGTTGAGCTCAAAGAAAAAAAAAAAATCACAAAAAAACCTCATATTGTTTTAAGAAAGTTTACAGATTTGTGTTGGGCCACAGGTTGGACAAGCCTGCTATATAGATGTTCTAGGTTTTCCCCTATAGGTATACTTATGTGAAAATGATTATTGTGATAAATTTTTTTTGAGATGAAGTCTTGCTATGTTGCTCAAGGTGGCCACAAACTCCTGGGCTTAAGCCATCCTCCCACCTCAGCCTCTTGAGTAGTTGGAATATAGGTACTCATAACCATGTGTGGGTGATTATTATTAGTTTTTAAACAAAACTGGGGCTGGGCGCAGTAGCTCACGCCCGTATTCCTAACACTTTGGGAGGCTGAGACAGCAGATCACTTGAGGTCAGGAGTTCAAGATCAGCCTGGCCAACATGGCGAAACCTCAACTCTACAAACAATACAAAAATTAGCCAGGCGTGGTAGCACGCACCTGTAGTCCCAGCTATTCAGGAGGCTGAGATGGGAGGATAGCTTGAACCTGGGAGGTAGGAGGTTGCAGTGGGCCGAGATGGCACCACTGCACTCCAGCCTGGGCAATACAAAGCCAGACTCTGTCTCAAAAAGAAAAAAAAAAAAAAAAGGTGGGCGGGGGCTTATACTATGTGTGCTGCTTGGCACTGTTGTTTTTATTTAAAAGATATTGCAGGTTTTTTTTCACGTAAGTATCTGAAGAAAGACTTCCTTTTTTTTTTTTTTTTTTTGGTTTTTTGCTTTTTTGAGATAGGGTCTTGCTCTGTTGCCCACGCTGGAGTGCAGTGGTGAGATCAGGGCTCACTGCAGCCTCCACCTCGTGGGCTCAAGCCATCCTCCCACCTCAGCCTCCTGAGTAGCTGGGACTACAGGTGTGTGCAACCACATCTGGCTAGTTTCTGTATGTTTTGTGAAGACAGGGTCCCACTATGTGGCCCAGGTTTTTCTTGAACAACTGGGGTCAAGTAGTCCTCCTTTCTTAGCCTCCTAAAGTGCCGGGATGACAGGCCTGAGCCCCGCGCCCGGCCAGCCTCCTGTGCGAGGTTGTGCGGGACTCTGTCGTGGAACCCAGTATGCCTTCATGTGCTGGCTTGTTTGTTGGCTCTGTAGTTAACGGGCTGCCCCACGTGGACAGGCACTGGGTTGTCTGTGTCTCTGTGTGCAGGCAGAGGCTGCTGCGGGTGCATCTGTGCACATGGCTGCCAGGAGGGGCTGTGCTCAGGGGGAGCTGGGGCAGAGGCTGGTGGCATTGGGAGGCTTGGGTGTAGTGTGGAGGCACGAGAGCCTGGTGGCCGGGCTGCAGTCTGCAGGAGCTCGAGGGTCGCTTGGCCTCTGTGTGTCCTAATGTCTTTGTCGGTGAGATGGGACAATGACAGCACACCCTCACAGGTGCTGGGGGCTGACAAACGTCAGGTCTGAGGACAGTGGTTGGCCCACTGAGAAGTTCCCCTTCTCTATAGTCACCCTGCTCGTCTTCCATCAACTGGGTGCTCAGGACAGTGGTGTGGTGGATCAGCCTGTACAGCCTGTGCTCCAGCGTCCTGCAGGCCACAGCTGTGTCCAGCCATGACCCCGACTGCCCCTCCCACCACCTCCATTTTATAGATGAAACCAAGGCCCAAGGGCTTAGGGAACCCTGCTCTGAAGCACATAGTAGGGCTGCTGGGCTCAGACCCTCCCTCCCTCTGCTGAGCCGCCCTCCTCCTGCCGCAAGCCCCCCACACCCCAAGCCCACCCTGCTCGCCGGCCTCTGCCTGAGTTCCCCGCATGATGTGGGAGTGTGGGGCATCCTAGCTTTTCCCCGGCGCCCAGTTCTTTCACTTCCACTGGAGTCCCGCAGGGACAGCTCGGGGACCATGCAGGCCCAGGTGGGCGTGGGGGCTCACCTAGCTCGGTGGTGAACAGCTGGCACGTCTCTGGGTTGTGGACGGTAAAGGCCACGTAGACCTCAGGAGACTGCTGGTGCTCCCAGCAGGCAGCCAGCCTCCGCAGGATCCCGACCAGCGACACGATGGCTTCTGGGCAATACAGCACGTCTACGGTGAAAGCTTCAGGTTACTGAAAGGGATAAGTGGAAAGTTCCAGTTCATACTGACCTCAGCAGCAGGGCGAGGCCAGAGAGGCAGCGGTCATATGAGACTATTAGATGCCATTTGACCATTTGGGCCATTAGATGGAAAGGCAATTACTTGGGTGAAAAAGGAGAACCCTTAGTAGAGAAAGCTGCAAAAGACCGAAGCAAAAGAAAAAAATCTCCAGACTCACTGGTGTTCCTTAAAAAACCAGCTCTGGTTCTCGGCCTATCTAGAGGGCTTTGAATGACAGAAAGCCTGACCCTGCCGTGAACTTCGTGTTTCAGGTGTCTGCCAATTGGTCTGCTGGCTTGAGGGGGTGGGCCTGTGTCCCTGGCCACCGCTGGACCTGTGGGTTTCAGGGCTGGAACCCAGGACCACAGGCAGAGCTCTGTTCCACCAGAGAGGGGACTGAGTGTGCTGGCAGGGGTGAGGGGTTTTCGGTGGCCCAGCCAAACACCACCTTCTCTCAAGGGCCCTGTCCTCATCTCAGAAGTGGTTGTTTTCCTCCTGTGGTCTCTGAAGGACACAGGGCATGGCTCTGGGACAGAGCCATGTGGTGATGACTGAAACGGGAGTATGCCTGTATCCAACAAGAGGTCTGTGGCTTGAAGGTCACCTTAAGAGGCACCCCTGTCCTTTGATGTCACCCTGGAGGCCCAGAGTACCTCTTCTGGAAGCCCCATCATGTCCATTCCCGACAGCGTCCATTGTTCCCTTTTCCCAGAGCCAAGGGCTGGGTAGAGCTGCATGGACACCACCTGCACAGGATGCCTGGGGCTGGCCATTACCTGCTGCAATGACAACATCTGGCTGGAAGGCAGAGAGCTGATGGACCGTCGCTACGTCCCAGTCCAGCTGGGCCACTGTCACCCTGGGGCTGTCTAAGTTGGCAGTGATGTCTGCCTCTAATGAGAGGCCATTGAGAAGGACATTCCCTCGGAGCTGCTCGAGGACCCGGCTGTGACAGTCACTGAAGATGAATGCCCGGGGGCGGTACATCTTGCAGATGGCCAGGCCTGTGAGGCCGGCACCACTGCCAAGCTCTAGGACAGTCCTGGTGGGAGGAAAGGGGACCGTGTCTTCAACTGCACCAGGGTAAGCCTGCCTCAGTGCCCTGCCCTGTGCCACAAGGTCACCTGTTAGTGAAGGCTGCTGGGTTCTCGATGGCCCATTCTGCAAGGTAGAGGGTGGCATCCCATGTGACCAGGCCTGTGGTACCATGGGAGATGATGGCTGTGCTCTCGGAGAGTGTGACTGAGCCTCCCGAGGGCTGCACCAAGAGAGGGCGAGAGAGTAAGTCCAGCGATCAGAAGGCAAGTGGCTTAGAAGACAAGTAGCCATCCACCATATGTCTGAATAAACCATGACAGGACCAATCGCCACTCAGCAATGAGAAGCAGCTAACTGTTGACATACCAACAGCTTGCACAGACCTCAAGGGTGTCACATAGCATGAAAGACACTCAGGCCACACTGGAGTCCATTCATCGAACATTGCTGAGACAACAGAATTCTGGTGATGGAGCACAGGTCAGTGGTGGCCAGGGGCCAGGTGTGGCTATGAAGGGATGGCTGCCTTGTGATGATTCAATATGCTATGTTTTTCCTTTGTGGTTTTCTGTATCTATGTTTTATTTTTTTTTTTTTTGAGCTCTGTCACCCGGGCTGGAGTCAGTGGCACGATCTTGGCTCACTGCAACCTCTGCCTCCTGGGTTCAAGCAATTCTCCTGCCTCAGCCGCCCAAGTAGCTGTGACTACAGTTGTGTGCCACCATGTCCGGCTAATTTTTGTACTTTTTTTTGAGACAGAGATTCGCTCTCGTTGCCGAGGCCGGAGTGCAATAGCACGATCTCAGCTCACTACAACCTCCACCTCCCAGGTTCAAGAGATTCTCCTGCCTCAGCCTCCTGAGCAGCTGGGATTACAGGCGCCCAGTACCACACCCCACTAATTTTTGTATTTTTAGTAAAGATGGAGTTTCACCATGTTGGCCAAGCTGGTCTCAAACTCCTGACTTCAGGTGATCCCCCTGCCTCAGCCTCCCTATGTGCTGGGATTATAGGCATGAGCCACCACGCCTGGCCTAATTTTTGTATTTTTAGTAGAGATAGGGTTTCACCATATTGGCCAGGCTGGTCTCGAACTCCTGACCTCAGATCCACCCGCCTTGGCCTCCCAAAGTGCTGGGATTACAGGCATGAGCCACCATGTCCAGCCCTGTCAAGTATTCTTTGAGGACTGGGCACCAGGTCCTTGTGAAGCAGGTAGTGTGTGTCACCTATTGGACAAATGCCCAACAACCCCACGAGACATGCTGTTGTTGTTGAAGTGCTTGATTTACAGACAGGGAAACTGAGGCTAAAGAAGGTTAATGGACTTCATGTCTAAGACTGCAGAATGGGTGAGTCAGAATTTGAACCCACACCCACATTTTCACTTTGTCTGTGCAGGAAGTGTATCTGGGCTGTGAGGGGGAGGAGGGTGCCCTTCTCATACCAGCAAATAACTCCGGTGGCCCTGGGTGGACTCCTTGGCCATCAGGGTCTCTGCCAGTGCCTCATACAGCTCGTCCAAAGCCTCCATGTGGACAGCCTCGTGCTGGGGGCAGACAGAGTGAGAGCTTGTTTGCTTTTGTTCTAATCTGTAAAAATGGCCAGATGATTTTCACCAAGTTTGGAGGGGAGATTTGGGATGGAATGGTGTAACACCGGCCAGCTGGCATATAAAATATTCACTTCGTTGGGCATGGTGGTGTGTGCCGAATAGTTCCAGCTACTCTAGAGGCTGACATGGGAGGACTGCTTGAGCCCAGGAGTTCCAGGACAGCCTGGGCAACAGAGATCTTGTCTCTAAAAAAAAATAATTCCACTTGGTAGGGAAACATGAACGGGAGGGCCTTCAACAAGAGGTGTTGAGAGGGTAGGGTTAGATGTAGTCTAGGGCAGGAGACAAGGATTCCGTGAGAGCTGCCACCTGACCACGACAGAGAGCTCTGTGTTTGGATCAAACACAGAGAGGAGGAAAACAAAAGGTGCTTTTAAGTGAGCCCAGACAGAACTGTGAGGGCGGCCCATGCTGCAGGCTGTGGCTGTCAGCAGGCTGCTTCTCCACAGCTGGCCCCGTCCTATGATTCATAGGGCAGCAGAAGGGTACACTAGGTGACTGCTGCCCTCTCCTGGTGGCACAGGGCAGAACTGCTGGTGACCACAGATGCACCCTTTTGGGGAGGACTAGGGAGAAAGCAGGTATTGGAGAAGCAGGGGATTGTTTATTTGCTAAAAGTGTGGCCCTTTCATTCAGCAAGTCTGCTTCTGCCTACTGAGGAATGGCCTCTCGACATCCCCATGTCAAACCCTGCATATTCAGGCCCATCTTTAAAATCCATCCTAGGCCAGGTGAGGTGGCTCATGCCTGTAATCCCAGCATTTTGGGAGGCCAAGGCAGGCGGATCACCTGAGGTCAGGAGTCCGAGACCAGCCTGGCCAACATGGTGAAACTCTGTCTCTACTAAAAATACAAAAATTAGCCGGGCATGGTGGCGTGTGCCTGTAGTCCCAGCTTCTTAGAAGGCTAGACATGAGCATTGCTTGAACCCAGGAGGCAGAGGTTTCAGGGAGCTGAGATTGTGCCACGGTAATCCAGCCTGGGCAACACAGTGAGACTGTTTCAAAAAAGTAAATAAATAAGTAAAAAATAAAATCCATCCTATATCAGTCAGGAAAGAGCTCATTCCAGCAGGATCAAAGCAGAGAATTCACCAGAGGAACTAGTTCCAAAGGTATGGCAAGAGCTAAATCTTCCAAAAGGGGCCCGTGGGGCAACCCAGAGACGGACAAGAGCAGGAAACTCCAAACCCTTCAGCGGGCAGGACAGAGGGTGTGGGTGAGGGTTCCAGTGCTGTGGGCTGGACCAGCCTGGTAGGAATGAGAATTCATATGCTAGGAGCTGGCGCCCCAGAGAAGCAGCTGCTGTGGAAACCCCAGGAGGCAGAGTGAGGGAGAGACGCTGGCCTCCCCTTCTTCCTGCCCTGCACTGTCTCCCATGGGTCACACTCAGATGCAGCCAGTTGCCTGGGGAGGCCCCTGCCATGCTGGGGTTTGCAAAGAAGGCCCAGGGCCTGGGAAGGATGGGGTCTCCAGCACGCAGGTGGCTATGCTGTCCGGCTACTGGGCGGACACTGCCCATAACTGACCTTTTTGATGAGTTCTGAGAGAAAGCACCGGGCTTTCTTGACTGACGGCGGGTGCTTCACACACACACAGGATGCTTCACAGTCTACGGCAAAGGACAGAACGTTGGTTGCTCGAGAGCCCATCTTAAGTCTCCTATGAGCTTCAAGCCAACACAGCAGAGGGCAAACTCCAGGCTACCCGATCCCTCAGCAAAGATGTACATGGACACGGCGTTCTGGCCCCACGCATCTGAAGTTTGTCTTAAGATATAAGCCGTTTTCTAAAGATGCTTCCACTGCAGTGGCACAGGCTATGGCAGCATTTCTAATGCCCATTCTGAGCAGGAACACAGGGCATGTGGGCCCAAACCACCTCCCTCCCAGGGGAGCCAGTGTGAACCAGGGTTTGCTGTAAGGACAGTCGCCAACTGTCTGGCTTTATGGAAGAGGCGGGAAGGCCCACTCAGCAACTGCTCTCTTGGAGCGTGTGTCCCTGGGGACAGGATGGAGGGGAGGGAACGCTCAGGGTGACACTCCCACTAAAGCCGAGAGAAGCCAAGTGCAGGATGAGCAAGTTCCAGGCAGTGGGAACAGCCTGTGCAAGCTCTGAGGTGGGCACGGGCTGGCCCTTGGAAAGGAGGGCAGAGGGACTGGTGTAGCAGGAGTGGGGATGGTGGGAAATCAGGAGCCTGGAGGGAGAGGGAGGAGACAGTCCGCAGCTCCTGCTGGCTGGGTGGGATGCAGATTCTGCCCAAGGGCAGCAAAGTACCCCACACAATACACTGGCTCTTCATGCTGGTGTTGGTTTTTCATTTTTTCTGACACAGAGTCTCGCTCTGTTGCCCAGGCTGGAGTGCAGTGGCCCGATCTTGGCTCACCGCAGCCTCCGCCTCCTGGGTTCAGCGATTCTCCTGCCTCAGCCTCCCGAGTAGCTGGGACTATAGGCGTGCACCACCACGCCCAGCTAATTTTTTTATTTTTAGTAGAGATGGGTTTTTACCATGTTGGCTAGGCTGGTGTTGAACTCCTGACCTTAGGTGATCCGTCCACCTCAGCCTCCCAGAGTCCTGGGATTACAGGTGTGAGCCAGTGCACCCAGCCTTGTGCTGGGTTTTAAAGCAGCTCTCCCAACATTTCATGCTTCACCACCTATGAGAGTGAGGCTTAGGGTGAAACTCAGAGCAGGGTGTGAGATAACTTCAGGTATCTCCATGATCGAAGCCCTGACCTACTGTATTGCCCCGAAAGTCTTCCCTGCTGTGTCTGCATCTTTTC
Source organism: Homo sapiens (assembly GCF_000001405.40). Taxonomy (NCBI): domain Eukaryota; kingdom Metazoa; phylum Chordata; class Mammalia; order Primates; family Hominidae; genus Homo; species Homo sapiens. The sequence goes on from NW_021159989.1 coordinate 78,733, forward strand.
CATGTGGATAATCTTGGTTCACCTCTAGCACAGGAATTCTTCACCGGGGCTCCTAGGATGGGCTGGGTGGGTGGGGGTGGAGGATGTCTGTCTCCCCTGAGTTTGTATGGAAAACATATTCTTCTGGTGTACTTCTTTCTGGGAGGGAGTCTATTGCTTTGTCTTTTCAGAAGGGCTCATGGCCCTTCGAAGGTGAAGACCCAGGATGCAGGGTGATCTGCACTTGGCCCTCAAGGCCAAGGTCAGCCTCTAGCTGGGCCGGGTGGTGATCCTGGCTCTCACCTGCATGCAGATGCACTTGAGTCCAAACCCCACCCTGGGCAAAGCAAGGGCCCATTTAGGTCTAGAAGAGACAGGAGTGGGCAGGACAGGCCTCATGAATGCAAAAAAGAAAGTCTCTGAGCATCTACCAAATGCTAGAAGCTGTTTTGTACCTGTCATCTCTGTTTTTGCTGTGGATGGTTTAAAAAACATTCGCTAGATTTCACCCCTCTTGCAGATTTTTGTATATTCTGATGTCTTTGTCTAAGTCTTAGATAGACAACGAAAGTGCAGGAGCTGTCGGAGGTGCTGACACCCACCTGCAGTGCTGACTCAATGGTTTTGTTCTTTGAACAGGGGTGTTTTTAAAGGGTATAAGCACACCTATGGTTCTTCTCTCAGGTCTTCCGGAGAGATTCAGGAGGCAGGGTCATGAGTCCCAGGGACTCTGGGATTCTTACCTTCTGCAAAATATCCCGCAGCAGCTCAGAATCTGATGAGTCTCTTAACTTTGCTTCTAAGCTCTGTGTGGACGGGAGAGAGAGAAATCTCAAGGGCGCATTCACAGGAACATTAAAACACGCAATAGAATGTGTTGGCAAAGCGCTATGTGATCCCTCCCTGGGGACGTGGAGCCAGTTGGAAGTGGAAGCCACAGTGGCTGAAAGCCTGACCTTCAGATGTCGCTGGGTGCAATTGGATGAGTCACAGGAAGAAGACTGACTCTTGGCCGCATTAGTCATGGCTACTTAGCGGCCACCCGGGTCATGGGCCAGCTCCCTGGTTGCACTGGTCAGCCAGGAATTACCAGGGCAGCCATGGCAACAAGGTTTGATGGGCTTGCCATCTGAGTTTAAGTAGAAATGCAGAATGTGCTCATACCAGCCTGGGTTACATTGTCCTCTTACAGGGGCCTCAAGCCCAGCAGCAAGCTTTGGCTCCTGAGTTAGGCAAACTGTCTCGGCTGGTATGTGACCCACGGCAAGGCACTTCATTGCTTCAGAGCTCCTTCCATGCCATAAAAGGCCCTACAAGACCTGGTCCTAATCCCTCTCTCTGGCCTGTTCTCCCTCACCCCTGGCCCACCCTGCTCACTCCACTCCAGCCACACTGGCTGCCTTGCTGTTTTTCCTCAACCATAGCTGGCTTGTTTCCACCACAGGGCCTTTGCATATCCTGTTCCCCAAGCCCTTCCCATGGCTGGCTGCCTCACCACTCAGGCCCCAGTTCAAATACCACCTCTTTGGGGAAGGCTTCCCTGATTCCCCGACCTTGGTGACTCTTCTCCCCAGTTGCTCCATTCACCATTTCCCTGTTTTATTGGCTTTAAAGCCACTCTCATCTGGTCTTTTCTTGTTTATTCATTTATTTGTTTATTCTCTGGCTCTCCCATGCAAGCAGAGCCTCATCTATCATGGGTACTGCTGATCCATGGTGCCTGGCTCATGGAAGGCATTTATTAAACATTTTGTGACTGAATAAAAACACCAGCTAACACCGACATGCATTTACCATGAGCCAGGCACTGATCCACAGGCTTTTGTACTCAACGCTGACAACAACCCTAAGAGGTAGGTATCATTATATCCCCCATTTTATTAATAAGAAAACAATAGCACAGAGAGATGCAGTCACTTGCCCAAGGTCACACAGGGCCAGGGGTTGGGCCAGGATTCGAAGCAGGCAGGCTGTCTCCTGGGTCTGAACTCTCAACTACTTCACCCTAATCAAACAATCTCTCTGGTCAAAAGTGAGTGATAATAATAGTACCCACCTCGTCAGTGTTGAGGGTGAGCCGAAGTTAGCATTCAGTGTGGGCATGTGAACAACTATAGTCAATATTGAATGGAGACCTATGATGCTTTTATGAAGGTTTCTATTTTGGGTTAAAAATGCACAAATTTCTCCTGACTAAAATTGATCTCTGAGTGCTAAATATTTTATGTCAATGGAATAACGCAAATGATTAAGCAACACCCCATAAAATGGGGCAGACCCAGGGAGGAATATATATCCGAACTGACTCATCCCAGTGAGCTCACTGCACATGAATTACAAATGGAGAGGGGTGCATTAAGCCCCTCTGCTGGCAGAAGGGAGGCTGCTGCCTGCCAGGCGCCTGTGCTGAGAATGGCAGGTCCCCAGGGAGAGGAGAGGCCACCCCCTTCTCTGTCTCTTCCATCACAGGCGTGAAAGCCTCAGCGCATGATCCGATTCTGTGCAGTGCTCGACATACAGATGAGAACACTGAGGCACGAGGGACAGCCTGTGACCTGGTCACCGTGCTCAGGATGAAGTGGTTACCCGCGGGCCTGAGGGCGCTGACTTTTTAGAATGGGCGAGGGCAGCTGTGTCCCAGTGACCAGAACGATTACTACCTTTAAAAAGTCGTGAAAATGATCGTGAACTGTACCCCACACCGAGCACGCGTCTGCCCCCCCAAGGCGGTGGAGACGCCCTCATCTTCCGCCGCCAGCTCGCGGGGCAGGAGGGGTGCGAGCGACTCTGGCCAGGCCCCAGGGACGGGGACCGGGTCTCGCGGCCCTGACCGGGGAGAGCCCAGGAACTCACGTGGCAGGAGCGCCGGGGGTTTCAGCACGGAGACCCATCCCGTCTGCCCCTGGACTCCCGCGAGCCCCGCGGGCCTCTCCGCTCGCCCGCCGCCCCCCTGCCAGGGGAAGGAGCGCAGCGTGCGCGCCGCCAGGAAGCGGCGCTCGAAACTCTGCAGCAAGAGTTCGGTCCCCGCATTCTCCTCGGGCGCCATGACGTGGGCGGGGCCGCAGCGTTGCCGGGAGACCGGGCGGAAGCCGGGCCTGGACTGAAGAGGGGGTGGGCCCAGGGCAGTGCGCGGCGGCAGAGAGGGGGCGGGGCCTGGGGGTAGGGTCAGGAGGAGCGTCCTGGGGGCGGGCTGTAGGGCGGGGCCAGGATGAGCGTTAGGAGGGCGAGGCCTGGGGTAGGGCCAGGATAAGCGTCGTTGGGGCAGGTCCTGGGTAGAGTCCAGGTTGGCGGGTCCTGGGGCGGAGTCAGGATAGGGCGATCCTGGAAGCTGGGCTTCAGAAGCGTCCAGGTTGGTGGCGTCCTGGAGGCGGTGCCTTGCGTGTGGGCAGGATAAGAGTCCTGGAGGCGAGCATTAGAGCGGGGATAAACGCCATTGGGTTCAGGAGGCGGGACTCAGAGCAGAGCCCAGGAGACAGGTCTTAGGGTGGGGCTAAGGCCAGACCCAGAGAAGGGCTCAGGAGGCGGGGCCGGGGCGGGGGGTTGACTATGTCGTAGCACATGGCCAGGCGGTGCGCGGACTCTGGGAGGCAGAGCTTTGGACGGGCCGACGTGGGGAGGGGCCCAGGGTCCAGGAGGCGGGGCCGAGTCCGGGCTGCCAGCTGCGCTCAGGAGGCGGGCCCTGGGAGGCGGAGCTTAGGGAGGGGCCGGTGTCGGGAGGGACCCAGGGACTGGGAGGCCGGTCGGGGCTGGGCTCAGGGGCCGAGACCTAGCTGGGCTTGGGGCGGGGCCGAGACGGAGCGAGGGATCCAGGGTGTGGGAAACGGGGAGGGGTTTGAGGAGGGGATCGGAATGTGGCTCAAGTTGGGAGGCGTTACCTGCGGAGGGTTTGAGGCACGCCCAGGAGCGAGCCCACGGTCGGCCGACGCGGGGCCAGGGGCGGGCCCCAGGATCCGGAGCTTCGGGCGGGGCCGAGTCTGGGTTTGGGGCCCGGGAGGCGGGGCCAGTTAGGGCGAGGGTCCCTGGGATCGTCGGGTCAGGCCTTGGGCTAACGTAGACACTCTCGCAGTACCTCCGCCTTCAGGAAGGTCTTTTTAGCAGGGGCCTTACAGGTGCACGCTTCGGTCCTGGAGGCCTTATCCTAACCTCTCCATCAGCGCCACCCGTCTGGGGCCCGAAAGGAGGGAGCTTTCCCTCTGTCCTCCAGCCTTTGGACTGTCTCCAAACAAGCCATTCGTTCACCAAATACTTATTAAGCACCTACCATGTGCCTGACAAGGGAGATGTAACGGTGAGAAAGACTAGGTGTGGTCTGGGCCCTCCAGAGGCTCAGGGGCTCGTGGAAGAAGTGGACATTGAAGTACTTATCACACAAATGAGTATAAAAGTACAATAGCGATATCTGCCACAAAGATGAGCAGACAGAGCTAGCGGGGCTTGCAGGAGGAGTTTTGATCTTGCAGGGACAGGAAAGAGGAGTTAGCTCCTGCGGGGTGGGATGGGGGGGTGGTGGTGATATAGACGTGGGGACAGAGTGGAAAACAACAAAAATATAATTATTTTAGTTCAAAGTTATTGTGTCTTGAGTTGAAAGGCAGGGCAGTTAGCAACACAGTTCAGATTTCAGTACTGCCCCCGAAATCTGAACTGTGTTCAAAGTCTAAAACGTTTACCTTAGCAAATTCCTCATAAAACTCCATTTGGAAGAGTCTCGAGAGCTAATTTGTTAAGTATACTTGCAAAAGGTAGATGAGGAGACAGATAAAATCTTATTACCTCTTTCAGATGAGAGGCACTTGAGCCCTGCTCAGCTATGAGAATAAGAGAGGGGAATTAATTCGAATTGAATACACTTGTTCTCTTATAGCTGTTGTTCCCCACCAGAACCAAATGAGCGCAAGATCTGACAAAGAAAAAAAAGGTTCATCTTTTATTCCCCCAAACACTTTCATTTAAATCAAGAGGATGGGATGTGGTTATTGCTGTGTTTTTAGACAGAATCAACGGTTTCTGTGTCTGAGATGTTGCATACACCCTCTCAGTCCCTCTATCCTGAGATGGAGTCACCTGAGGATCCACAGCAAGTCCTAACCAGGGATGGGTCTGGGTGATTAAGGAAGGTTGGCTTCAGAACTGGGCCAGGGGCACTGCTTTGCTTTTGCTGTTTTGATCAGCTCTCTGCCTGCAGGAGACAAGGAAAACCAATGGGAACAGGTTAGCTATACTCATAAATCTTGGGCTTATTTTATTAACTCACATAATAGCTATTAATTGTCTTTCCTCCAAGGAGCAAAAGGGCATATACGGTCAATGCCATAGTAAGTAACACTGTATTATGTTATACTAAAATATTAATAAATCTAGGTTGGTTCAGTCTTTCCTGAGTCCATAGATTGGAAGCAGATTGAGGAAGGACGCTAGTGGACCACAGAGCTGAGCCATGCACACAGAAGAAATCTTTTTTTCTTTTTTTTTTTGGAGACGGAGTTTTGCTCTCTTGTTGCCCAGGCTGGAGTGCAATGGTGCGACCTCGGCTCACTGCAACCTCCACCTCCCAGGTTCAAGCGATTCTCCTGCCTCAGCCTCCCGAGTAGCTGGGATTACAGGCATAAGCCACCCTGCCGGGACATTTTTGTATTTTCAGTAGAGACAGGGTTTGAACACGTTGGCCAGGCTGGTCTCAAATTCCTGACCTCAGGTTATCCACCTGCCTCGGCCTCCCAAAGTGCTGGGATTACAGGCGTGAGCCACCGCGCCTGGCCAGAAGAAATCTTTATCTTGGTGTGCAGTCTCTGGTGAGGGACAAATGTCATCTCTCTTGGATCTGAATCTGGAAGGATAAAGGCACTGAAGGGATTTTTTTGTTTCAGGCAGTCTCCTTCTGTTGCCAGGCTGGAGTGCAGTGGCACGATCTCAGCTCACTGCAACCTCTGTCTCCCGGGCTCAAGCGATTCTCCTGCCTCAGCCTCTCGGGTAGCTGGGACTACAGGCACGCGTCACCATGCCCAGCTAATTTTTGTATTTTTAGTAGAGACAGGGTTTTACCATGTTGGCCAGTATGGTCTCAATCTCTTGACATCATGATCCACCTGTCTTGGCCTCCCAAAGGGCTGGGATTACAGGCATGAGCCACCATTCCCGGCCTCACTGAAGGGATTTTTTTAATGTCACGTGGCTCTCACAGGTGCTGTGTGTTCGGGTGCAAGTGAAGATTACGACTGATGCTTAAAAACAAACGTAAAATTCCAGGTGGTGTTGCTATGGGGAGCAGCATTAGGACAATCTGAGTGGTTTCAGTTGCAAGAGTGTGCGTGTACGTGCAAGAACTACAGTCAAGATTCAACTTCTGGCTTTCAGGGTCTCTTTAATAATAGTAATAACAACCTAAGGCAGTTTAACAGTATGGAATGGTTGCCTTTTAGAAGTTAAGCTATGGGCATGGAAGTTTCAATCAGTACATTGAAGTTTTTCTTTTATCTCTCCTATGGTTAATGGTTTCTGTAGAAAAGGACCAGTTGATTTCTTTCTAAAACGTTGCTTCAGGGTGTAGAGACCTTTATAGGTCATGTTTCAACTTACAGAAAATTTTTATAGTTCAAATATAAATTACGTTCAATGTGGGCTTTGTAATAGAATTTAAGGTTAAGTAAAGTTTCCACTTTCCTTAGGCTGTTTGCAGTGCCCAGCAGGCCCCATGATATCGAGATGGAAGTTATGTTAAAGGAGGAGATTGGTCAGGGATGGGCAGAATAAGGAATATGGGCAGCTCAGGCTAATGATACAATGATTGAGATGTAGAAAGAAGGCCAGGCACGGGATAATGTCTGTAATCCCAGTGCCTTGGGAGGCCAAGGCAAGAGAATCGCTTGAGGTCAGACCAGCCTGGTCAAGAGAGTGAGACCTAACCTGTACAAAAAAAAAAAAAAAAAATTAGTTGGGCATGATGGTGTGCGCCTGTAGTCTCAGCCACTTGGAAGGCTGAGGTCAGGGGATCCCTTGAGCCCAGGAGTTTGAGGCTGCAGTGAGCTATAATCACATAACTGTACTCCAGCCTGGGTGACAGGGTGAGGCCCTGATTCAAAAAAAAAAAAAAAAAAAAAATGGGTCAGGGAAAAAGTTGGAAATCTTAATCCTCGGTACCCAGGAATGTGACCTTATTTGGAAATAGGGTCTTTCTAGATGTAATCAAGTAACGATGAGTCATCCTGGATTGGGGGCTGCTAGTGAGGGGGCAGATGCAATGACTGGTGTCCTTATAAAAGAAGAGAATGAGGGCCAGGCATGGTGGCTCATGCCTGTAATCTCAGCACACTTTGGGAGGGTGACGTGGGGGTATCATTTGAAGTCAGGAGTTTGAGACCAGCCTGGCCAATAATAACAATAAAAAAGCCATTTTAGATTCTAATCCACTGAAAGAAAACTGTCCCTTAGTTAATGGCATGCTTATTGGATCCATGAAGTCTTTGAAAATTTAAACGGCAAGGACACTGCTCTCTGTGGTGGTGGAGAGAATACCAAGGATTTAAAGGTCTTTAAGAAAGAGAATGTAGAAAGCGTACCCATTGGAAACAGCAAGATGATGATAATCGTACTGACAGTAATAATAAGTTCAAATATATAGAGCTTACTATGTATCATGAATTGTTCTGAATGCTTTATAAATATATGTTACCTCCCTTACCCTCATGGCAGCCCAGTAAAGGCTCCATTCCCCATTTTACAGCTGGGGAAACTGAGTTACAGAGCTTTTCTGCACTGAGTCATCAGGAGCAAATGCTAGATCAGGTAATTGAACCCAAGCAATCTGGTTCCAGAGCCAAATAGATGTATTTTTTATGGTATAAAAACATATACATACATTTTTAGGGGAAGGGTGGGGGTAGGATGGGATGAGGATTCTGGGTAATTGCTTGGTAAATGCCAAATACCTTTCTTGTCTGTCCCTGTTTTCAAATGATAAAGTAATGTCAATTGCAACTTTTTTTTTTTTTTTTTTTTTGAGACAAGGTCTAGCTGGAGTACAGTGATGCAGTCATAGCCCACTGCAGCCTCAAATTCCTGGGCTCAAGCGATCCACCCACATCAGCTTCCCAAGTAGTTGGGACTACAGGCCCACACTACTGTGCCCAGCTAATTATTTTAATTTTTGTAGAGATGGAAGGTGGCGGTGGGGGGGTGTCTCGCCATGTTGCCCAGGCTGGTCTTGAACTTTGACCTCAAGTGAACCTCCTGCCTCAGCCCCACAAAGCTCTGGAATTATAGGTGTGAGCCACTGTGGCTGGCTACAATACTATTTATTTATATTTTAGACCAAGAGATATTCTAGCATATAAGAAATGTGATGCTCTCTGTAAATTGAAGAGTTGGTCTAATATTTCTCCTGGTGGATACAGAAATTGCCTGTCTGCTCCGCTCTGGTTGAAGAAACTAGTCCGACTGTCTCTGAGGCTATGGAGCAGTCCATCGAGAATGAAAGCCCTCGGCCAGGCACGTTGGCTCACACCTGTAATATCAGCACTTTGAGAGGCCGAGGCAGGTGGATCACTTGAAGTCAGGAGTTCGACACCAGCATGGCCAACATGGTGAAACCCTGTCTCTACAAAAAATAGAAAAATTAGCTGGCCCTGGTGATGCGTGCCTGTAATCCCAGCTACTCAGGAGGCTGAGGCAGGAGAATCACTTGAACTTGGGAGGCAGAGATTGCAGTGGGGAGCTGAGATCACACCACTGCATTCCAGCCTGGGCGACCGAGCGAGAGTCTCTCAGGAAAAAAAAAAAAAAATGAATGTCCTCATGATGGCCTCAAGCACATTGGTCCCTGAAGAGAGTCAAGGAAGGCCCACTGCACTGCAAAGCAGGCAGGTGGACAGGAATCTGAGAAGTGGATTCAGTGAGAGGCATTGACCCAAAGGATTTTCTGCCTAATGGTCGGTCCAGCAGAATATTAAACTGAGCACAGCATCCTGTTCCCTGAAACCATCTGGTTGGTCAGTGGGGAATGTTCTTGTCTCGTTAAATGTCCTCATGCTACTGTCAAGATATCCTGTTACAAAACGTCATAAACCAGGTTTACAAATAGGCCAGGTGACTGTGGAATTTCTCCTTGGCAATGCCTTAGCTATGGGCGTGCGATTAGTGTGCAATAATCACAGTGTTCCGGGCCACTTGAGGGATAAAATATACCTTAGGTGATTAACTGTTGTATTTTAATGTGAATATTTCCACCAACATTAAACAGTAACTCCATGAGTTTTCTCATACCTGTTACACTCTGGAGTTGCAACAAGCTGACATGAAGCAAGTTGCAAACATAATTATCGTATTTGGCTCCTATTCACAGCAAGGGTTCTTCAAGCTGTACGTGGGGCAGTCTTCCCTCACATGAGGTTTATAGCATCATTTATTTAATTATTTATTCATTTTTTGAGACGGAGTTTCGCTCTGTCGCCCAGGCTGGAGTGCAATGGTGCGATCTTGGCTCACTGCAACCTCCGCCCCCCCGGGGTTCAAGCGATTCTCCAGTCTCAGCCTCCCGAGTAGCTGGGATTATAGGCACGCGCCACCACACCTGGCTAATTTTTGTATTTTTAGTAGAGACAGGGTTTCACCATGTTGACCGGGCTGGTCTCAAACTCCTGACTTCAGGTGATCCACCCGCCTCAGCCTCCCAAAGTGTTGGGATTACTGGTGTGAGCCACAGCTCCCGGCTATAGCATCATTTAAACTTTGTTTCTGCCATGAATTGTTAGTTGGTAGTTAACAAAAAATAGACCACCTCATTTATGTCTCACAGTTAGCATTGGTTTTTGTGTTTTCTTTAGGCTTGTTTTTTAGTTGTTTTTAAAATTGTGAAACAGGGTCTTGTTCTGTTGCTGAGGCCAGAGTGCAACAACACAGTCTTGGCTCACTGCAGCCTCAACCTCCTGGGCTCAAGCAGTCCTCCCACTTTAGCCTCCTGAGTAGCTGGGACTACAAACACGAGCCACCACCTCTGGCTAATTTTTAATTTTTAATTTTTTTTTTTTTGAAATGGAGTTTTGCTCTGTCGCCCAGCAGGTTGGAGTGCGCTGGCATAATCTCGGCTCACTGCAACCTCCACCTCTCGGTTCAAGCGATTCTTCTGCCTCAGCCTCGGCACCCACCACCAGGCCTGGCTAATTTTTAAAAAATATTTTTAATAGCGACAGGGTTTCACCATGTTGGCCAGCCTGGTCTTGAACTCCTGACCTCAAGTGATCCCCCTACCTCAGCCTCCCAAAGTGCTGGGATTACAGGCGTGAGCCACCACGCCAATCCTAATTTTTAAATTTTGTGTAGAGACCAGGTATTGCCATGTTGTCTAGGCTGGGCTTGAACTCCTGGGCTCAAGTGATCCTCCTGCCTTGGCCTCTCAAAATGCTGGCATTACAGGCATGGCCCTTATGTCTGGCCCTTAAAGCTGCTTTTTAATAACAGCTTTATTGAAAGATAATTCATATACCATACAATTTACCCATTTAAAGTGTATCATTTGGCCGGGCATGGTGGCTCACACTTGTAATCCCAGCACTTTGGGAGGCTGATGTGGGAGGATCGCTTGAACCTAAGAGTTTGAGATGAGCCTGAGCAACATGGCAAAACCCTGTCTTGACCAAAAATACAAAAAAATTAGCTGGGCATGATGGTGTGTGTCTGTAGTCCCAGCTAATCAGGAGGCTGAAGTGGGAGGATGGTTAGAGCCTGGGAGGTGGATGGTGCAGTGAGTTGAGATTGCACCACTGCACTCCAGCCTGTGCAACAGAGCCAGATCCTGTCTCTAAATAAATAAATAATGTGTATATTTCAGTGGTTTTTAATATATTCACAGAGTTTTGCAGCCATCATCACCATCAATTTTAGAAATTTTAATTACCCCAGAAGAAACCCTGTATCCATTAGCAGTCACCCCTTATTTCTCCCCGACTATCCCCACCCCTGGCTCCTGGCAACCATTAATCTACTTTCTGTTTCTTTGGATTTTCATATTCTGGGCATATATATATATATATATATATATATATATATATATATATATATAATCATCTAATATTTGTCTGGCTTCTCTCACTTAGCCTAATGGTTTCAAGGTGTATCCAGGTTGTAGCATGAATCAGCCCTTCATTCCATATTTTGGCTGATTAATGTTCCATCACATGGGTAGACTGTATTTGTTTGCCCATTCATCTGTTGTTGATAGGCATTTGTGTTGTTGCCAACTTTTGACAATTATGAATAATTTTGCTACGAGCATCTGTGTGTGTCTTTGTATGAACAGGCTTGCATATTTTTTGATATGGGCAAATGAGAACCAGCAGCGGGGGGCCTCTGTAGTGACTGTTTTGGTGATCTTTGTGTACTCTGTATAATGATCAGCCACTCAGGCTTGGGGGCAGCACTTAACCTTACATTTCTTTCTTTTTTTTTTAAGATAGGGTCTCTCTCTCTGCCACCCAGGCCAGAGTGCAGTTGACGCAGGGCAGGGGAGCCCCGAAGTGGAGCATAGTGTGTCCGGAACTGGTGGGTTCTTGGTCTCACTGACTTCAAGAATGAAGCCGTGGACCCTCACGGTGAGTGTCACAGTTCTTAAAGGCGGCGTGTCTGGAGTTTGTTCCTTCTGATGCTCGGATGTGTTCAGAGTTTCTTCCTTCTGGTGGGTTTGTGGTCTCGCTGGCTTCAGGAGTGAAGCTGCAGACCTTCAAAGTGAGTGTTACAGCTCTTAAGGTGGCGCGTCTGGAGTTGTTTGTTCCTCCCATTGGGTTCATAGTCTCGGTGGCTTCAGGAGTGAAGCTGCAGACCTTCGAGGTGAGTGTTACAGCTCATAAAGGCAATGTGGACCCAAAGAGTGAGCAGCAGCAAGATTTATTGCAAAGAGCAAAAGACCAAAGCTTCCACAGTGTGGAAAGGGACCCCAGTGGGTTGCCACTGCTGGCTGGGGCAGCCTGCTTTTATTCCCTTATCTGGCCCCACCCACATCCTGCTGATTGGTCCATTTTACAGAGAGCCGATTGGTCTGTTTTACAGAGAGCTGATTGGTCTGTTTTGACAGGGTGCTGATTTGTGCATTTACAATCCCTGAGCTAGATACAAAAGTTCTCCAAGTCCCTACTAGATTAGCTAGACACAGAGTGTCGATTGGTGCATTCACAAACCCTGAGCTGGACACAGGGTGCTGATTGATGTATTTACAAACCTTGAGCTAGATACAGAGTGCCGATTGGTGTATTTACAATCCCTTAGCTAGACATAAAGCTTCTCAAAGTCCCCACCAGACTCAGGAGACCAGCTGGCTTCACCAAGTGGATCCCACACGGGGGCCACAGGTGGAGCTGCCTGCCACTCCCACGCCCTGTGCTGGTACTCCTCAGCCCTTGGGTGGTTGATGGGACTGGGCGCCCTGGAGCAGGGGGCGGTGCTCATTGGGGAGGCTTGGCACTCATCAGGGAGGCTCAGGCTGCGCAGGAGCCCACGGAGGGTTGGGGGGAGGCTCAGGCATGGTGGGCTGCATGTGCCGAGCCCTGCCCTGCAGGGAAGCAGCTAAGGCCCTGCGAGAAACTGAGCAAAGCAGCTGCTGGCACAGGTGCTAAGCCCCTCACTGCCTGGGTCCAGCGGGGCTGGCAGGCCACTCTGAGTGCTGGGCCCAGTGAGCCCATGCCCACCCGGAACTCGCGCTGGCCCGCAAGCGCCACGCCCAGCCCCGGTTCCTGCCCAGGCCTCTCCCTCTACACCTCCCTGCAAGCTGAGGGAGCCGGCTCCAGCCTCGGCCAGCACAGGAAGGGGCTCCCACAGTGCAGCGGCGGGCTGAAGGGCTCCTCAAGTGCCGCCAAAGTGGGAGCCCAGGCAGAGGAGGCACCGAGAGTGAGCTCGAGGGCTGCCGGCATGCTCTCACCTCTCAATAGCACGTGAGCGTTCTTGTCTTTACCCAAGAAAGAATTCAAGGGCAAGCCGGAGGTATAGAAGAAAACAGCTTTATTGAAGAGGCAGCATTACAGCCCTGTGACTGCTCCTGTAGGGCAGGGTTACCCTGGAGGCAAAGAGTAGCGGCAGAGAGTTTGCAATCACATTTATACCCACTTTTAATTGTATGCAGATTAAAGGGCAGTTTATGCAGGAATTTCTAGAAAATGGGTAGTAACTTTTGAGTCATTGGGTCATTGCCATGGAAAGGGGCAGTAACTCCCGGGTGTTGCCTTGGCAATAGTCAACTCACATAGCACACTGGTGGGCATGTCTGATGGAAAGCTGCTTCTGCCCCAGCCCTGTTTTAGCTAGTCCTCAATTTGGTCTGGTGTCCAAGCCTCGCCTGTGGAGTCAAGTCCTGCCTCCTATCTCACAGTGGCGTGATCATGACTCACTGCAGACTCAACACCCCCGTGCTCAAGCAGTTCTCCCACCTCAGCCTCCTGAGTTGCTGGGACCACAGGCACGTGCCACTACGCCCAGCTACATTTTTTTGCATTTTTTGTAGAGATGGTGTTTCACTGTGTTGCCTAGGCTGGTCTCAAACTCCTGGGTTCAAGCAATATACCTACCTTAGCCTTCTAAAGTGCTGGGATTACAGGTGCGAGCCACTACACCCAGCCCAAACTTACATTTTTAATCTCAAGTCACTTCTCTCTAGGTTTTGATTTCTTCTTTTAAATAGTGGAACTAAGAGCCTCTATTTTATAGGGTTGTTGGGAAGACAAAAATGAAAGAACTGCTATTCAATGTTTAGTGAAGCGCTATGCACAATTTTGAATAATGAAGTTGGTGTTTATTTTTTATTATTTGTTTATTTATTTTTTAGAGACGGGGTCTTGTCTGCTGCTCAAGCTGGAGTGCAGTAGTGCAATCACAGCTTCGTGCAGCCTTGACCTCCTGGGCTCAAGAAATCCTGCCACCTCAGCCTCCTGAGTAGCTGGGACTACAGGCATGCATCGCCATGTCTGGCTATTTATTTATTTGTTTGTTTTTTGTAGTGTTGGGGTCTCCCTATGTTGCCCGGGCTGGTCTTGAACTCCTTGCCTTAAGCAATCCTCCTGTCTTGGCCTCTCAAAACACTGAGATTACAGGTGTGAACCACCATGGCCAGCCTTATTTTTATTTTTAAATCAGCCTTGTCGAGTTGAATTGGTCATTAATCTTGTATAATGGTAATTTGGGGCAGCATTGGTTGGGCGGGGGGTGGGGAACATTTAGGACCCTGTGGGCTACAGCTCGTAGCGTGGGCACTTATTTTATTTTGTTTTGTTTTGTTTTGTTTTATTATATTATATTACATTATATTATATTATATTATATTATATTATATTATATTATATTATATTTTTTTGAGACAGTGTCTCACTCTGTTGCCCAGACTGGAGTGCAGTAGCACGATCTTAGCTCACTGCAACCTCTGCCTCCCAGGTTCAAGCGATTCTCCTGCCTCAGCCTCCAGAGTAGCTGGAACTACAGATGCGCACCACCACGCCCAGGTAATTTTTGTATTTCTAGTAGAGATGGGGTTTCACCATGTTGGCCAGGCTTGTCTCAAACTCCTGACCTCAGGTGATACACCTGCCTCAGCCTCCCAAAGTGCTGGGATTATAGGCGTGAGCCACCGTGCCCGGCTGTGCTCTTATGTTTGATTTTTGCAGAACCACCCTTCCCTAATGGATGTCTCCTAGATCCAAGGTGACTTTATTCATTTTAGAATGAACTTACCCCATTGATACTGTAACCAAAGTTGGCATACATCACGATTGGCAGAACCCGGTCATGTTTAGCGAGATGGAAGTGTTCTGGAAACCCCTCCTTCTTGTAGATGTGGAGGTGAGGGTACGCATTCTTCAGTGCCTGGTAAAGGGCTTCCTCTTGCCCCAATTTGGGCAGGGGCATCCCAAAGCCACCGTAGCCCACAATATCAAACTTGACCAAGTCCATAAACTTGATGTAGTTGGACAAGGGATCTTGTTGACATTGGGTCTCTTCTTCACGGTGGTCATCCCATGGTCTCATGTGATGATGACGCTGAGGTGTTCTGCAGGCTGTGCTTCTCAGTGGCTCCCACCAGATACCTGATGGTCCTGTCGATTTGCTGAATCATCAACTTCCTATTCTCTGCCTCTGGCCTGAATCGATGTCCCACGTTATCTGGCTCTCTGTAACACAGAGTCACAAAGTCAAAGTCTTCCTTGGTGAACCAGTTCATGACAGTATCGATGTTCGCACTCCGCTCTGTCTCGTTGCTGTTTGGGTGAGTGTAGGACTCCACCAGGGACTGCTTGACAGCCTCACCCTCGTATTTAGCACCTCCCCTGGAATAGTGGGATGATGCTGCTTTGTTGCCCTGCAAGTACAAGAAGAAAATTCCGTCAGGGCCATTTATCATACCTTTCTCACAATCAGCAAAGCTCGAGTTGTCTACATCTGTGCCCCAGTCCAAAGACATAGAAAATATGTGGTCTTTGGAGTCAGACAGGGTGGAGTTAGATTCTGGGCTTCCCCAGGATCTCATAGCATCTACAACACTGTTAGTTACAAGATGTGCTATTATTTTATGGGCTACTAAGCAGAAAAATGCTGCCAACGAGACCGTGACTTACCAGTGATTGTAAGGTGTATTCCAACTTCAGAGATGGCAAAATGAAAAATAATTCCTTAGAATAGAGGGAGACGGTAATTTCTGTGTTGTTGGTGGTGAATTTGTGCATGTGTGTTTTTTATATATATACATATATATATATATATATATATACACACACATATACGTGTATATATGTGTATATATAGACATACCTATATACATATACATATATATGTGTATATATGGTGCTGCAGTGGTACAATCATAGCTCGTTGCACCCTTGAACTCCTGGGTTTAAGCGATCCTCCCACCTCAGCCTCTTGAGTAGCTGGGGCCACAGGCATGTACCACCATACATATATATATATATATATATATATATATTTTTTTTTTTTTTTTTTTTTTTTTTTTTTTTGTGACACGGTGTCACTCTCTCACCTAGGCTGGAGTGCAGTGGCACGATCTCAGCTCACTGCAACTTCTGACTCCTGGGTCCAAGCAATTGTCCTGCCTCAGTCTCCCAAGTAGCTGGGATTATAGACACGTGCCACTATGCCCAGCTAAGTTTTGTATTTTTAGTTGAGATAGAGTTTTGTCATGTTGGCCAGGCTGGTTTCGAACCCCTGGGCTGAAGTGATCCACCTGCCTTGGCCTCCCAAAGTGCTGGGATTACATGTGTGAGCCACCGCACCTAGCCCTAATTTTTTTTTTTTTTTTTTTTTTTTTTGTAGAGATGAGGTCTCGCTAATTTGCCCAGGCTGGTCCTGAACTCCTGGGTTCAACTAATTCTCCTGCCTCAGCCTCTCAAAGTGCTGGGATTACAGGCATGAGACACCACGCCAGGCTGGTGGTGAGTTTTAAAATTTTCCAGTGCCTCAGTGTTTCTACCTGTAGAATGCCAAAAAGTAGATGGCATCTTTGCGAGGATGAAGCCGACTAGCTTTTTTTAATTTTTTTTTGAGACAGAATTTCTCTCTTGTCACCCAGGCTGGAGTGCAATGGTGTGATCTTGGCTCACTGCAACCTCTGCCTCCTGGATTCAAGTGATTCTCCTCTCTCAGCCTCCAAGTAGCTGGGATTACAAAGCCAGCTAGCTTTAAGATACAGTGTTGGGCATCACATTTTGGCACGGAGCAGGCACTCTTTTCTTTGCCCTCAGGTGGGACTTAGCCACCACAAGCCTTCCCTGGTGTGTGCAGTGGGTGATGAATGCTTGCCTGCTCAGCACCCACTACATGGTGGGCTGGGTCACATTACTCTGACTCCCCCTTGAGCTTCAGTCCGTGCCTGGTTCAAGATGTATTGACTCAACTCGAGGATCCAGAGGTGGGATGTGGCTCTGGCCTGGCCAGAGGACCGAAGATGCTGCATGCCATGGCTACAGCAACTGGTTCAGCTTTGGGCTCATGTCCTAGTCAGAGCCAATGAGATGTAATCTTGGGATATCTGCTGGGCTGTTGGGAAGGGGACAGGCTGCCCTGCTCATCCCCATTCCTGATGCTGAGGGATCTGAGAAAATCACTTGTAAAATTCGGGGGTGTTTGGAAGATGGGGAGACTGATGTCTCCTTCTCTCTACAGACATCTGATCAGCTACAGAGCTTGACTGACCTACCCAGAGGCAGAATGATATGGTGGTTAAAAGTGTGCCCTGGGCCGAGATCTTGCCACTGCACTCCAGCCTGGGTGACAGAGTGAGACTCCATCTCAAAAGAAAAAAAAAAGTGTGCTCTGGGCTGGTCGCAGGAGTTTATGACTGTAATCCCAGCAGTTTGGGAGGCTGAGGCAGGAGGATCGCTTGAAGTCAGGAGTTTGAGATCAGACCCTATCTCTAGAAAAATGTTTTAAAAATTAGCTGGGTTGGTGGTGAATGCCTGTAGTCCCAGCTACTCAGGAGGCTGAGGCGGGAAGATTGCTGGAGCCCGGGAGTTCAAGGCTGCAGTGAGCCATGATCAGGCCACTGCACTCCAGTTTGAGGGACAGAGAGAGACCCCATCTCCCTAAAGCACAAAAAAGTGTGCTCTGGTGCCACACTGCCTGGTTAGATCCTTTGTCCACCACTTAGATGCATGTTATATAAATGCTCTCCTCAGTTTCCTCATCTGTAACTTGGGGATGATAATGCTGCCCCATTAAGTGGTTATGGGGACTAAATTCATGTGGGCGCATTGGTAAGTATTCAACAAGCTTGATTTTTTCCTGGAGAGGGAGAAAGAGCATACAGTGAAGTGGCATGCTCAGGTGCATTGGGGCAAGGATTATTTCCTCTGGCTTCTGCCTCCTGGGAGGTACTAAGGATGGATCTGAAATGTGTCTGCAGACCCCAGAGTTGGGGACTGCAGAGGGAAATTGAGATCAGGGACCCCAGTCTGGCAGAAATGGGTGCAGCATGGGGCATTGGGTTCCTTCCATCAGAGGCATGGGGTGTGTTGCAGACAGTCATGAGATGTGGCTGAATCTTGCAAGGGAGCTGCAGTCCTAGGGTTGCTGCTTGAGACAATGACCGCTGTCAGTGGAACCTGGTGACCTTCACCCTTCTCTGTCAGGCTGCAGACAGCAAGAGATGGCAGGAGGTTACACCCAACAGGAAAAGGGCCATTGCTATCCCACAGGTTGCCATAGGAGGAGATGACATCTCTTCCCTCTCCTCCTCCAGCAGTGTCAGCTGGGGAAGAGGTGGGTGGGGGTGCACAAAAGAGTAGACCACAGACCATGCTCCTTCTCCTCCAGTCTGCTGGGGCCCCAAGAGAGTCTGCAGCCCTTGGCCAGGGACCGGCTGATACAGGAGAACAAAAGATCTCAGTCTGGGATAACATGGTGGTGCAGCTGATCCTCTGGAACTCCCTGTGAGATCAGACTGGAGCCAGTCTCCAGCTGAGACCACATCTCACTTAGCTCCTTCCCTGCCATATCCTGTTTTCCTTACTCCTATCTACTGAGAGTCCTGAATGAATTACATGCACTCAATCCCTGCCTCAGGCTCTGCTTTTAGGGAACTTGACCTAAGACAGATATCTTAGTACTAAATACTTTGCAAGGCCTCAGAAGCTCTGCTATCCACAGGCAGGTGAGATATTACCTTCCCTACCACCTGGCAGTCATAGTCTATGATGCGATTCAGCTTTGTGGAAGTGCTTCTGTAAAGAACTTCCCCCAACTTAAGATGATCTTAATTTGCTTACTTGTTTACTGTCCATTTAGCTGCTGTAAAATGTGAGCTCCAAATCAGTGGTCATGTCTGGTTAGTTACCCATTTCCTGGGACCTAGAACGGGCCTAGCTCAGAGCATGTGCTCACTATTGATGGAATGCATGTTGAAAGAACGCATGAATCTCATCTCCTTTTGTGGGTGAAAAACTCATCCTATTCTCACTCCTGATTAACTTTCCTTCTTTTTTTTTTTTTTTTTTTTTTTCAAAACGGAGCCATGATCTGTCACCCAGGCTGGAGTGCAATGGTGTGATCTCATCTCGCTGCAACCTCTGCCTTCTGGATTAAAGCAATTCTCCTGCCTCAGCCTCCCGGGTATCTGGGATTACAGTTGCACGCCACCACACCTGGCTAATTTTTTGTATTTTTAATAGAGACAGGGTTTCACCATGTTGGCCAGGCTTGTCTTGAACTCCTGACGTCGTGATCTGCCTGCTTTGGCCTCCCAAAGTCCTGGGATTACAGGCATGAGCCACCGTACCCAGCCACTCTTGATTAACTTAATGGAAATATTTACAGAGATTCTTTCTCTTCTGGGTTCTAGCGTCTTATCTGTAACCTCTGCAGGTAATACATTTTCCTTCCTGATAAAAGCATTTCTATGGTTGCTTTTACTTGCAAATCCTCTAATACTTATTTATTCCATTTCTGATTGGCATTAGACATAATTCTCAATTTTTAGTGACAGCACTTTTGTTAACTTACATATCAATCGACTTTGCCTTGAAATGTGACATTGACTAGAAGGATGAAACTTCTAACATGCTGTAGAACATAGTTTCACTGGCTAACTTATTATTTAGAAGAAGCTAATATTGCCATTATGAGGGACTTAGGTGGCTCTGAAGAACCAGTTGTATTTCTGATGTTTGCAATGTTAAATCACAGATATTGCCAATGTGAAATAGGTTCTGTATGCTGTGTTCTCAATACACACCTTTTCCAAAGATATCCCAAGCTGTAGTCTTAGGAAACTGTGATTTTTCTTATTTGGTCTCATAGGAATTTGGGGAGCTATGCAGGATCTCCATAAAATGAGCTCCAGAAAGACACATGTGTGCACATGCACACACACTCACACACACACTCACACATGTACCACACCACAATTGACTGTTTATTTGGGACCCACGATTATCAGAAGTGCTATTTTCAACAAACACTTCTGAGAAATAATCTGAACACTTAATTGGATGCAAAAGAGTCAGTATTTACTATTCTACCCTTTAATTAGCATAATCAGTGTTTCCAGCAGCAAAAGTAATTGGAAAATCGCTAGTTTTATTAGGTTAATTATTCTCCCTTATCGTAGTGTGGCATCAGCGTGGCTATTATTCTTAAATTGCCTCTTTAAAACAAGGGCTGGTGCTTCTTACAGGCAATTCCTAACTCTTGGGTTTTGTAGAGAGCCCAAAACTCTTTAGAACCTATAATTCAAGGAAAGGCTCCACTTTGGTTTTGCATTTTGTCTGGTGTCTTTGGCTGACAGAATTTATGTCACAAGGTGCACATATTTGGGGGAGGCTCATGGACAGCCCATCGTGCTTGTGCTTTGGTAGGAAGTACGTGCCGTTAAGGGGAAGGAGATAGTTACTGATTCTAGGGAACAATTGGGTAGAAAGAGATGGACTCCCTGTGTTTGAAATTCAAAACTCAAGCTTGGCTCTAAGTGTTTCCTTGCTTTGCTTTGCTCCAGGGGAGTCACTGAGCAGAACGAAGCGAGTTGCCTGAGATTCTTCAAAGCCCCAGCCCTTTTGGAGGTTACATTGTTATTCTCAGAGCCTTTATGATGCATAATAAAGACCTAGCTTGTACCAATATTAGGATGAGTTATCTTGCTATTAACATTCTTTTAGGTAGAAGTTGCTGGTCCCATCTTGCTCACAATCCTCCAAAGTTTGAAAGTTATTTTCCAGGAGACTTGGCTTGCACTGAGAGCTGCCCTCCCACTCTCTCTCCAAATTTCCTCTTCGGAGTAGCCTAACAAGGTGCTGTCACAGACCCTTGTCAGCCACGATGACCCCACCCAGACCATCCCTCTGCTGTTTCACTCTTTGATACTCTCTGGAGCTCTCTGGGGAGGGGTGAGACCTGCCGTCTTCTTTGTACGGTTTGCCCAGGTCTTACAGTCATGGCTGGCTGCCTCTCTCTGAGAACTGGGACTCCTGAACTTGGTGAAATACCTCAGCCATCGATCATGTTGAATTATTGGGAACACTCATTTAAAATCCGAGCCTGTTCCAGATAGACTCTCTCTCTTTCTGCCCTGACTGTGAGAGAAGCCCTGCTGGATGGTGGAGATGCTCGTGGGCTGTGAGCAAGGGATGCAAAGGCTGCCGGGAATCCCATCTTTCCAGCATCATCTGCTAAGTCACATTAGTTCCTGGGTATCTGGATGGGTTCTAGCAGCATTACTGTCATTGAAGGAAAAATGATAGCCATATTAAAGGTTAATGCAGCAATCTCCACATAGGCTGCCTTGAAGGGACGCAGGACAAGGGTAGGTTTTCCTTGTGATGGACAGGAGGCAGGCGGCCCTCCCACAGCCCTGCCTGGCAATGCAGGTGTGTCCCCAAAAGGCACTGGGGGCCAGCTGGAGTGCTATGCCGAGGCGGGCTGACCTGGGCCGTGGGTTCGCTGATTGCAGCGGTTTCCTGCCAGCTCCTTGGAGAGCTGGCAGATGGCCCAGCCCCACAGCAGGAGCCGCGAATGGCAGAGCGACATACAACAATTTGATATCCACTTGCCAGAGGAGCCGGGTGTCATCAGTCGCCTGGATCTGTGCCCAACTTCTTTTTGCATAAACACTTATGAATTCAGCCAAGAGGAAAAGCACTCTGATTATGAATTGAGCAGAAGGAAACAAAGTTCTGCAGATAAACACCAATGAGACAAAAAAACACAAATAAGAAAAATGACAGAAAAGAAGAACCTTCCCAGAAGCCTCCTGCCAGTGAACGGCCACCATAGCAAGAGCATGGAGGCCCTGGGTTTTGAACTGTGAGATAAGGAAGATGATGAAAACCTCCCTAGCAGCCAGGCAAGCACAAGATTCCTGTGAAATCCAGGTCTAAGTGTTTTGACTACAGAAGTAATATTATGTCATAGGTGAGAGCTGTGAGTTGCTGAACCCAAAGTGAGTTCAAATCCAAGTTCTGCCTCCTGCAACCTTTGTGACTTTGAGAAGTTCCAACACCACTTTGTGCCTCAGTTTTCTCATCTGTCAAATGGGCATAATCACAGCTCTTGCCTCAGAGTTGTTGTAAATTAATACATGTAAAGCACTGAAATCAGCCTGGTATACACTAAGTGTTATGAACGTTATTTTCTTGGAAGGACAGAACTTATTTTCATGGTCTAAGCCAGAAAATCTAAAAAATGTGAGAGAAGGGGAAAGAATCTAGAGTGTCACCATGAGGGGGAAAAGTCAACTTGAAGCAGGACAGGGTCATTGACAATTTCCTGTGATTCTACAGCTGCCTTGTAAACTATGGTAGCTCCTAGCCACTTGTTGTTTAGATTTTGTGCTTTAGAAATGAATTAAGGCCGGACATGGTGGCTCATGCCTGTAATCCCAGCACTTTGGGAGGCCAAGGTGGGCAGATCACCTGAGGTCAGGCGTTCAAGATCAGCCTGGCCAGCATGGTGAAATCCTGTCTCTACAAAAATACAAAAATTAGCCGGGCATGATGGCGGGTTCCTGTAATCCTAGGTTCTCAGGAGGCTGAGGCAGGAGAATTGCTTGAACCTGGGAGATGGAGGTTGCAGTGAGACAAAGTTGTGCCACTGCACTCCAGCCTGGGGAATAGAGTGAGATTCTGTCTCAAAAAAAAAAAAAATTAGGTAAAATAAGAGAAAATTGAAAATTCAGCTCTTCATTCTCACCAGCCACATTTCAAGGGCTCAACAGCCCATGTGGGTGGCTAGCAGCTCCCATATTGGACAGTGCAGAGTAGAGCAAGTCTGCCATTGCAGAATGTTTGATTGGACCATGACCGAATAGTCTAATGCAGTGGTCCCCAATTTTTTTTAGCACCAAGGACCAGTTTCCATGGATTTTTGGGGGGAAGTTTCCGGATGATTCAAGTGCATTAAATTTATTGTGTACTTTATTTTTATTGTTATGAACATTATAATATATAATGAAATCATTATACAACTCACCATAATGTAGAATCAGTGGGAGCCCTGAGCTTGTTTTCCTGCAACTAGATAATCCCATCTCAGGGTGGTAGGAGACAGTGACAGATCATCAGGCATTAGATTCTCATAAGGAACACACAACCTGGATCCCTTCCACATGCAGTTCACAATAGGGTTGGTGCTCCTATGAGAATCTAATGCCACTGCTGATCTGATAGGAGACAGAGCTCAGCCAGGGGGATCAGCTGTAAATACAGATGAAGCTTCACTCGCTAGCCTGCTGCTCACCTCCTTCTGTGCAACCCAGTTCCTAACAGGCCACAGACCACTACTGGTCCGTGGTCTGGGGACTAGGGACCTCTGGTCTATTGGATAACACTGGCTTGGAGCATACTGATCAGCCAAAGAAGTGCTGAGATGATTTGGCCTCCGTTAGTAAGAATGATGGACCTTTTTTTTTTTTTTTTTTTTTGGAGACAGAGTTTCACTCTTGTTGCCCAGGCTGGAGTGCAGTGGCACCATCTTGGCTCACTGCAACCTCTGCCTCCCAGGTTCAAGTGATTCTCATGCCTCAGCCTCCCAAGTAGCCGGAATTACAGGTGCCTGCCACCATGCCTGGCTAATTTTTGTATTTTTAGTAGAGTCGGGGTTTTGCCATGTTGACCAGGCTGGTCTTGAATTCCTGACCTCAAGTGATCCGCCTGCCTTGGTCTCCCGAAGTGCTGGGATTACAGGCGTGAGACACCGCACCGGGCCAGATGGACTTTTTTTAAGCATTTAGTTCCAAGCACTTTCCCTGCACTTTCTCAGTTAATCCTCTCAGTGACTCTTTGAAGCAGGGAGTATGACAATCTTAACTTCCCAGATGGAGCAACTCAGGCAGAGAGAGCAAGTCATTGGCCACGGTCGCCCAGCTGAGGAGGGATGGAGCCAGCTGAGATCCTCTTCTAGGGAGCTAACACTGCAGCCTGCATTCTGGGCTGTTGTATTCTCCCATGTTGCTATCTGACGAGCACAGCATGGGCTCAGAGTACAGAGAGGAGGAACCAGGTAATAAGGATAGGTCTGGGGTGAAGGCTGGTGCCTTGGGGAAGAAGAGAGAGGCCCCATTCTAAAGGGATGCCATTGGAAGCTCATAGTGATAAAGCAAAGCCGACAGGTTTTGGGACTGGGAGTTAAGCACACAGTTCTGGTTTCTGCCTTTTCACAGTGGTGATGAATGGGCACTGAGACCCTCTCAAGCTAAAGTTGTCATCATTGCTCTTCATAGTCTGAAGGTGCATGAAATGGTCAACTTTCTTCCAAAGGGCTTTTATGCCTAAGTCTGTGGATAGTGTATAAACAGATATTTACTGAATTCCTGCTGGGTGCAGACACTGTGGCCAGCCCTGAGGCTACAGTCGAGATGAAGCCAGTCTCTGTCCTCATGGAGACCTATCTATTGATAAGAAAAGAGAAAGCTCACTGAGCATTGACCCTGTGCCCACTGCTTTTGATGCATCTCTCATTTAATCCTTCTATCAAATCGGTGAAATAAACACATCACCATCATCCCTATTTCACATTTAGGGAAACATATGCTTAGAGAGGGTAAGTAACTTGGTCAAGGTCGCACAGCTTCGAACTCTCATCCCACAGGTGCAGGAATGAGAGGCAGCAGCCGGGGAAGCCAGGGTCTCCGGAAGTCCTTGTCTCTGGGCGGTGATCCAGAGAGAGAGAGAGAACACGATTGTCTCAGCAATGGGTCTTCTTCTGAGTCTTGAAGGAGCACTTCCAGAGCCTCTCAGTGTTAAACATCGTGTTGTGAATGACTCCGTGAGCTCTGACCCAGTGACCTTGGGGATAAAGGAGGGGAGGTACGGATAAGCTCTTCGAATGGATGTTGCCGGGGTGTCAGTGTTCTTTGAGGGCACAGACTATGTGTCACTAAAGAAAGAGCCCAGTGCCTTTTCTCATTGCTCAAGAGATTGAAGGGGTAGTAAGAAAAGATGTTAAGTTATAAACACGTTTCAGTTTTGGTACCAGTTGAACCAATTTACGTTTTGAAGAGGAAAGAGTCTTGCCTACAATGTCAGCCCCCGGGTTTTCCTTCTGCTTATGGAATCCAGGCAATGGGCAAAGAGAAAAAGAAAACTAAGGAATCAGCCAGGTGCAGTGGCTCATGCTTGTGATCTTGGCACTTTGGGAAGCTGAGGCAGGTGGACTTCTTGAGTGCAGCAGTTCAAGACCAGCCTGGCCAACATAGTGAGACCCCGTTTCTACAAAAAATACAAAAAGTTGCTGAGCATGGTGACATGCACCTGTAGTCCCAGTTACTTGGGAGGCTGAGGTGGGAGAACTACTTCATCCCAGGAGGCTGAGGCTGCAGCGAGCCATGATCGTGCCACTATACTCCTGCCTGGGTGGCAGAGTGAGGCCCTGTCTCAAAAGAAAACAAAAAAGATAAAAAGAAAACTAGGGAATCTAGACAGCATAAGTTTATATATATAATAAAGAACTGAGATAGAACTGGGTTGACTGAGTAATTATTTGAACTGCTTTTGACTGAATTTTTCCTATTGGAGTCAACCTTTGTTTGTGTGTGTGTGTGTGTGTGTGTGTGTGTGTGTGTGCGTTTGGTTTAGTTTTGTCTTTGTGTTTTTTTGAGACTGGGCCTTCTTCTGTTGTCTAGGCTGCTGGAGTGCAGTGGCATGATCTCAGCTCACTGCAACCTCTGCCTCCCGGGTTCCAGCAATTCTTCTGCCTCAGCCTCCCAGTAGCTGGGACTATTGGGCATGTACCACCAAGCCCAGCTAATTTTTGTGTTTTTACTAGAGATGGGGTTTCACCATGTTGGCCAGGCCTGGTCTTGAACTCCTGGGCTCAAGTGATCCGCCTGCCTCGGCCTCCCAAAGTGCTGGGATTACAGGTGTGAGTCCCTGCGCCCAGCTAGAGTCTACCTTTCTTTGAATTCACTGCAGTGCAAAGACTGGGACATGTGGAACTCCAGGTGTGTATGGGTTACATAGAGATGCTAGGGGCTGATTAAGGAAGGAAAGATATGAGAAGCCTGCAGAGCATGCTTTCCCAGACTGTATGGGCCCTGGGAAAGGAGAAGTGGACAGAAAGGGAACACTGGGTGCCCTGGAAGAGAAGATTCATCCAGGTCATCAGGGAAGTTACTAATGCAAGGGAAGAAATGCAGAGTCAGGGCCAAACACGCTTCTTCCAAGTCCTTTCTGTCTGCTCAGTCACCTCTATGCTTATTTTTCTTCTTTCCTGTAAGTAGTGCCACGTGTTTTCTCCCCATTCCTAGTCACTCCTAGTCAACTAACTCCTCTCTTTACCATCTTTTCATCAGAACTTGAAACCTCCTCTCCTTCATGTATTAGTGATCATGTTTCTCCATAATACTGCTAGAAACAAGAATTGAAACCTGGAAAACCTGCATTTGAATACCAGATCTGCCTCTGCTAACTATTTGAGAATTTATTTTGTTCAATTCTTTTTGTTGTTGTTGAAACAGGGTGTCACTCTGTCGCCCAGGCTGGAATGCAGTGGTTCAATCTTGACTCGCTGCAGCCTCAACCTCCTGGGCTCAATCCATCCTTCCACATCAGCCTCCTGAGTAGCTGGGACTAAAGGTGTGTGTCACCACACCTGGCTAATTTTTAATGTTTATTTTTTTTGTTTACTTATTTGTTTTTGTAGAGATGGGGTCTTGCTATGTTGCACAGGCTGGTCTCAAACTCGTGGGCTCAGGCGATCCTCCTGCCTTGGCCTCTCGGATAAAATGGGAAAAGTTCCCTTGTCCCCCTCGAAGGGCATGCGATGGAGGTGTGGTTCGCTTCATCAGTGCCCCATTGCTCAAACCTCTAGGGGAGCATGAAGACAGGCAGGGAGCCCCATGGCAGTGTCTAGGGGTGAATGTTTATAGTTGAAGCCCCAGTGGGCGTGTGTTACAGGGTGCTCTTTTAGTTTAGCCATCCGTAGGTAGCTTGTGTTAGTCGGCTCAATTAGACCCCCGCCTTATTGCAAAGACAGAGGGCTCTCTTTGTCCCGGGGTTCTTGCCTTGGTGTACCGGAAGTGGTGCGATCTCAACTCACTGCAAGCTCCGCCTCCCGGGTTCACACCATTCTCCTGCCTCAGCCTCCCGAGTGGCTGGGGCTACAGGCGCCCACCACCACGCCCAGCTAATTTTTTTGTATTTTTAGTAGAGGTGGGGTTTCACCGTGTTAGCCAAGATGGTCTCGATCTCCTGACCTCGTGATCCACCCGCCTTGGCCTCCCAAAGTGCTGGGATTACAGGCGTGAGAGTGCTAGGTTTTATTGAGTGGAAGTAGCTCTCAGCAGATGGGGGAGCCAGAAGGAAGATGGTTTTCCCCTGGAGTCGGGCAAGTGACCTGACTCTTTTCCGACTGTCCCAGCCAAACTCTGCCTTGTTCTGCCAGTCAGTGGCCTGCGGTGTGCCGGTGCCCATTGGTGCGTTCCTCTTGACATGCAGCGCCCATGTGTTCCTCTGCTGATATGCTCCTCTTGAAGTCTAGCTGCCTGTGTGTCTGCCTTCTAGGGTCTCAGGGTTTTTATAGGCACAGAATGGGGGTGTGGCATCCAAGGTGGTCTTCGGAAATGCAACATTTGGTCAGGAAAACAAAAATCCCTGTCCTCACCTAGGTCCTTGGGCACAGGCCCTGGGGTGGAGCACTAGCCAGCGACCACACCCTCCTCTACCCAGTACTTCCCTTCCTCACTTCCATATCATTTAAAGGGACCACATTCTTCCCTTCCGAGCACTTCCCTTCTGTATCACAAAGTGCTGGGGTTATAAGCATGAGCCACTGGTCCCAGCCAATTCCATTCTTTTAACGCAAACTAGAAAATAAGTGTTCAGAAAGGCCTGCCTTATCCACCTCAGGGAGTTGCTATGAAGATCAAGTTAGATCATATGCAACAGAAGTTTAGAAAAGATTCCAAAAGCACTGCACAATGGGAATGTATTTTTAAACTCTACTGAGTGGACTTAAAAGTATGTTTTTTACTTTCTTTTTTTTGTTTGAGACAGAGTTTCACTCTTGTTGCCTAGGCTGGAGTGCAATGATGCCATCTTGGCTCACTGCAACCTCCGCCTCCCAGGTTCAAGTGACTCTCTGCCTCAGCCTCCCAAGTAACTGGGATTACAGGCGCCCACCACCATGCCTGACTAATTGCTTTTTTTTTCTTTTTGTCTTTTTAGTAGAGATGGGGTTTCACAGTGTTGGCCAGGCTGGTCTCGAACTCCTGACCTTAGCTGATCCACCCACCTTGGCGTCCCAGAGTGCTGGGATTAA
Organism: Homo sapiens; assembly: GCF_000001405.40. NCBI lineage: Eukaryota > Metazoa > Chordata > Mammalia > Primates > Hominidae > Homo > Homo sapiens. Next base: position 106,933 of record NW_021159989.1, read on the forward strand.
GGCTTGAGCCACCACACCCAACCTGTGTTTCTTTTTTAAGCAAGAAAACAAATGCCTCTCCCCAGCTCTCACTAAACCAATCCCTCTTTTTTTTTTTTTTTTTTCCCATAGGATTCTTTTCCTTCTTGCCCCAGTGCAAACATTCTATTTTCTTTTGGCCCTTCTGTCCATCTGTGAAAGGGTCAGGCTTTCTAGCTAACCCGTAATCAAATATTTTTGATGACCACAGTCAAGACAGTACTTATTATTTTTTTTGAGATGGAGTTTCGCTCTTGTTGCCCAGGCTGGAGTGCAATGGTGCAATCTCAGCTCACTGCAACTTCTGCCTCCAGGGTTCAAGTGATTCTTTTGCCTCAGCCTCCCAAGTAGCTGGGATTACAGGTGCACAACACCACGCCCAGCTAATTTTTGTATTTTTAGTAGAGATGGGGTCTCTCTATGTTGGTCAGGCTGATCTTGAGCTCCTGACCTCAGGTGATCTACCCACCTCAGCCTACCAAGTTGCTGGGATTACAGGGGTGAGCCACCCTGCCCAGCCAAGACAGTACTTATTAATGCCTGAAACACATTCAGGAGCACATGAGCTGGCTGTGGCTGTTCTAACAAAGTTCCCCAAATGGGTGGCTCAGGACAACAGAAAGTCATTCTCTCCAGTTCTGGAAGCTTGATGTCTGAAATGGGCAGGGCTGTGCTCCCTCTGAAGTCTCCAGGGATGAATCCTTCCTCGCCTCTTCTGGCTTCTGGTGGTTGCTGGAAATCCTTGGCTTGTGGCCACATCATTCCATTCTCTTCCTTCATTCTCATGTGGCCTTCTCCCCTGTGTGTCTCTGTCTCTTCTTCTCTTCCCATGAGGAAGCCATTATTACTCCATTTAAGGTCCACACTATTCCAGTATGACCTCTTTGTAATTAAATCTGCAGTGACCCTATATTCTTTTCTTTTTCTGAGATGGAGTCTTGCTCTGTTGCCCAGGCTGGAGTTCAGTGGCACAGTCTCAGCTTGCTGCAACTCTGCCTCCTGGGTTCAAGTGATTCTTCAGCCTCAGCCTCTGAAGTAGCTGGGATTACAGGTGCATGCCACCATGCCTAGCTAATTTTTGTGTTTTTAGTAGAGACAGGGTTTGGCCATGCTAGCCAGGCTGGTCTCGAACTCCTGACCTCAAGTGATCCTTCTGCCTCAGCCTCCCAAAATGCTAAGATTACAGGCATGAGCCACCATGCCCCATCCCTATTTTCTAATAAGGTCACATTCTGGGATTCCTGGTGAATGTGAATTTTTGGAGGACAGTATTCAGTCTAGCAAAAGGCAGGGCATCCTCATTTTCTTCCCTACTTCAGAAATAAGGAAGTTAACTTCAACCCCTCGCAGAGAGAGAGAGAGGCTTCCTGAGCTTCCAACAATCAATTACCCAAATATTAGTCGCAGAAGAGCACTAAGGGTTGTGCACAGCACGTGGCCAGCCCGTTCTCAGAGTCTGTCAAGTTTAAGGTGAACGCTAATACTGAATGAGTTTTAAAATGTATTTGACATTTTCTGGTCATTGTAACATGTTCTCACATCGTGATGGCTGGGGTTTCTCTCTCAGGTGTAATCTGCGAAGTCAGATGTGACACAGCCTGGGTGAGGTGGGCCAAGCTGGGAACTGGGTTAGGAGGGAAGCTGGGGAATGAGCGCCAAGGTCTCAGATCCCAAACTGGCTTTAGCCTGATTCACCCAGAGGGACCTGGTAAAAAATACACATTCCAGGGCCCACCCCAGACCTAATGAATCAGAATTACCTGGGAAGGAGCCTGGGGAGCTCTGTTTTCAGAAGCAGCCCAGCAGAATCCTACCATCAGACAGGGCTAGGAAACTGAGCTCAGGCTAGGGCAGTAGTTCCCAAACTCGTCTGTGCTTCAAAAAATACAGATGCTGATGGCCAGTCATGGTGGCTCACACCTGTGATCCCAGCAATTTGGGAGGCTGAGGGGGCAGGATCACTTGAGCCCAGGAGTTTGAGACCAGCCTGGAGAACATAGAGAGATACTGTCTCTGTAAAAAATTAAAAAATTAGCCAGGCTTAGTGGTGCCCACCTGTGATCCCAGCTACCCTGGAGGTTGAAGTGGGAGGGTTGCTTGAGCCCAGGAGTTGGAGGCTGTAGTGAGCTATGATTGTGCCACTGCACTCCAGCCTGGGTAGCAGAGTGAGGCTCTGTCTCAAAAACCAAACAGAACAAAAAACAAAAAACAGATGCTATGTCCCATTCCAGAGGTTGAGGTTTAATTATTCTGGGGTGGGGTGTTGCCTGGGTTTTGGAACACTTAGAAAATCCCATGTGACCCTAAAGTGTAGATGAGTTTGGAAACCACACATGTAAGGCACACTTGAATTGGGGAGCAGTGAGGTGGTGTGGGCTAGCCGGCCAGAACCCAGGGGTGGGGCGGTAGGAACCAGTATTGCAGAGGCCATGAAGGCTGGGAAGCATAGTGTCTGGGGCCCATAACAATGCTTGGACATGAATGCTTTAGACCTAAGACAATTGGCTCCTAAATGTGAAAACTGCAAGGCTGAAATGAATGCATGTTTAATGCTTTGCAACATTGTCAAGTGGTCAGGTGCAACTCCGTTCTGAGGGCATGATGCCTGAGATATTCCTGTAATGGGGGTTGATTTTAATGAATTTAATATGGTGTGGAGTGGTGCCTTCAAAAGTAAAAATGTCAGTTCTAAGTTGGTTGCGGGGGGTCTGGGCAAAGGTCTTAAAACACCGTGGTAAACACCCCAATTTTAAAACAGGGACTTTTTTCCAAGAGACTTTTTGAAAATAGCTCTTATTTTGAGGGGAGGAACCCTGGCGGGAGAAAGCCAGAGTTAAGCCCAGCTGAGAGGGAGTTGGCAGGCAGGGGTCTGCCTGGTCCTCACTGAGGCTTGCTACTCAGGGTGAGCTTCCTAAACCAGTGCAGATTTGCTGGCCCACTGAGCCTCCCAGATGAGAACCTGCATTTCAACAAGGTCCTCAGTGCAGCAAAGTTTGAGATATACTGGGCTAGAACACCCAGGGGACCTAAAGGTTCTTTGAAAACTAAGGAAAATAGGCAGGAGGTGGTGGCTTATGCCTGTAATCCTTGTATTTTGGGAGGCCAAGGTGGGTGGGTCACTTGAGGTCAGGAGTTGGAGACCAGCCTGGACCAACATGGTGAAACACCATCTCTACAAAAGATACAAAAATTAGCCTGGTGCAGTGGCAGGTACCTGTAGTCCCAGCTACATGGGGACAGGAGAATCGATTGAACCTGGGAGGCAGAAGTTGCAGTGGCCAGAGATCGCACCACTGCACTCCAGTCTGGTGACAGAGTGAGACTCCATCTAAAAAAATAAATAAATAAATAAATAAAATAAAAATAAATACTGGGCTAGAAGACCCAGGAGACCCAAAGATTCTCTCAAAACTAAGGAAAATAATCTAGGTCACATATATATTCTCTTTCTCCTTCTCCTCATTGCCCCTCTCCACCAGTAATCTTTATAGACTCAAATAGAGTTGATGTTCTATAATCAATTCTAGTCACTTTTATTTATATTTATTTATTTTAGAGATGGGGGTCTCACTATGTTGCTCAGGCTGGTCTCAAATTCCCGGGCTCAAGTGATCCATCCACCTCGGTCTCCCAAAGTGCTAGGATTACAGGCATCAGCCACTGCACTTGGCCGTTACTTTTATTTTTGATGTTCAAATTATAAGCTAATGTCTGTGAGACCATAGATTCTTTTTATGCACTCAATACGTTTTTGTGTTTACCTTACATTTTTATTATGGAAAAGATTCTGTTTTTTCCACTTGTTTCTATTTGATAATGAAGCCCTCTGTGCCTATCGCCAGCCTCAGCCGCCATCATCTCATTACCAAGCTGGGTTATTTTGAAGCAAACATCTTCAATATTTAGCCGGTGTTCAAATTTACCAAACCATCCTAAATGAGTGTTTAGAATAGTTGTCTCATTGGAAACAAGGTCAAAACAAGTACATTTTACATTTTTAGGCCAGTCTTGAAAGTAAGCGTAAAACCATGTGTGGGATAGGAGGTGGAACTAGCCTCTCAAGGTGGGACCTGGATACCAGACCCAATTGAGGACTAGCTAAGACAGATTCCACAGTGAATAACACCAGGAGGTGGGAATATTAAGGTCCATTGCAAAGGCTGGCTACCACAATTATTTGATCAACTAGTTATCAAACCTGACTGCAGCTGAGAGAGATTTGTTTTTGCTTTTTTTTTTTTTTCAGAGACAGGGTCTTGCTATATTGCCCAGGCTGGACTCAAACTCCTGGGCTCAAGTGATTCTTCTGCCTCAGTATCCCGAGTAGCTGAGACTACAGGTGTGTGCCACTGTGCCCAGCAAGATATTAAAAAATACATATGCGCGGACACCACTCTAAACCAACTAAATCAGAATCAGATATAGTGAAGTCATTAATCATTTTGCTCCTGGGTCTTTATGACAGTTTTGCTCCTGGGAAACTCCTGGGAATGTGGTAGAGAGAGAGAAAGAGATGGGAAAATACGATTTTAAGAAGTGTTGCTATGCATTTTGAAAATAATATTTCTTTGGTGTTTGTCTTGAGGGATGGCAATAAACATTTCAATTGCTTTTAAGTATGCTTGCATGCTGGAATGATGGTTCTATGAATGCAGCATCGAACTGGGATTGGGCCACATGGCAGCCAGCATGAGACTTTATGCCACATTTATAAAACATGAATGTCATGAGCCCACTCTCAGGGACCTTACTATTTGGAGGGTTAGGTCAGATCCACAAATCTCTTCTATCTCATGGTAAAGGAAGCCTGGCGTGTAGCAGGAGATGGTGTGAAACAATATCATATTGCATGATCAATATTTGTATTCTTAGCAATATTAAACTTTTTGACCCCCTCCATTGTGTCATCAATTTGCTTAATACAGTTTCTGCTTCAGCGTCGGTTTTTAAGCCTGGTGTAAGCTGTTTGAAACCCAGGCACGTACCCCGCCCATTATCTTTGGCCTAGTTAACACCTCCCGTCCCTGCGTGGTGGTTTGGAGAACCTGCTTGTTCCTCATCCCACTGATCCCAAACCCAGGACACCCCACAGCTGCTGACCATGACTAAACCTAATGGAGATTTAATGCCTTTCTTCTGATTCTCAGGGTCTGACATTCATTCACTTAAATACTTGCAGAGTCAGCCAGGCATGGTGGCTCACACCTGTAATCCCAGCACTTTGGGAGGCAGAGGTGGGTGGATCACGAGGTCAAGAGTTCAAGACCAGCCTGGCCAACATGGTGAAACCCCATCGCTACTAAAAATACAAAACTTAACTGGTGTAGCAGTGCGTGTCTGTAATCCCAGCTACTCAGGAGGCTGAGGTAGGGGATTTGCTTGAACCTGGGAGGTGGAGGTTGCAGTGAGCCAAGATTATGCCATTGCACTCCAGCCTGGGCAGCAGAGTGAGACTCTGTCCCAAAAAACAAAAATCCCAAAAACTTGCAGAGTGAATTTAGGAAACCATGAAGTCTAGAGTTTGATCCAATCCCTTCCTTTTTCTCTTTCTCAAATATTTTGAGCCAGGTGTTATTCTAGATTGTCTTGTGATATTTACAATCTAGGAGAAGGCAGGAGAGAGAACTAAGAACAGAGAGCATGTTCTGAGATGTCTGTTGTGTTTGCATGTACCTTCCCTCAATTTCCCTACTCATTGGCCATGCTAGAAAGCAGGTCTTGGCGCCATATTTGTACCATGGTACTTCCCCTCCCTATACTCAATTGGTTGGCCAGAAGCACAATTGTCATTCTCTCTCTCTCTCTCTCTCTCTCTCTCTCTCTCTCTCTCTCTCTCTCCCTCTCCCTCTCCCTCTCCCTCTCCCTCTCTCCCTCCCTCCCTCTCCAAGATATCCAGTAACTGACTGATCAGCTGGTGGTGGGCTCTGCTGGCTGCCATGATGGGCCACCAGAAAAGGGGGAAAATTGTTTGTGAGTGAGAGAAGCAGAGATAAGAAAGTCCACAGGGCTGATAAGAAAGACCATGGGCTGCCGGACGTGGTGGCTCACGCCTGTAATCCCAGCACTTTGGGAGGCCAAGACGGGTGGATCACGAAGTCAGGAGATCGAGACCATCCTGGCTCACATGGTGAAATCCCATCTCTACTAAAAATACAAAAAATTAGCCAGGTATGGTGGCGGGTGCCTGTAGTCCCAGCTAATTGGGAGGCTGAGGTGGGAGAATGGCGTGAACCCCGGGAGGTGGAGCTTGCAGTAAGCTGAGATCGCACGACTACACTCCAGCCTGGGCGACAGAGCAAGACTGCGTCTCAAAAAAAGAAAAAAAAAAAGAAAAAAGAGACCATGGGCTTCTGAGAGCCAGAAAGAGGCATTTTGGTTTCTGTAACTGCAGTTTCCATTCTCTCATGGCCTCTCATTTGTTTCTCGTGCCCATGAGTTTTCCTGTTAGAGATAAGGTGTGCTCCTTTCCCTCCAGCTCATGCAAATGGGTTTCTGTTTCTTACAATCATTGTTCCCAGATATGGATGGTGACTGATGCTCTACTAAATGCTGAAAAAAAGCAGAGTGGAAGCACAGAAAAGAGGGCTTCTCTGAGGAGGTGACGTTAGAGCCCAGTTGGAAGGCAGGGGTAAATGCGCACCATGATTTTTTAGGATTAAAACCAAGTATCTCACTGCTTGGGCACATGTAGATAGCTGTGATTTAACAGTAAACTGTCCCAGTTATACCCATTGTCAGTTACCTCACCACAGGGATTATGTAGCCCTGAGTTTGCTTAGTGATTATTTATTTTAGGTTGTTGTTTATCCAAACCTCTTAAACGGCACGCGTTTGGACCAAGTGACAGCATCGTTCATTGATGTTGTGGGCAAACCACTATTTTATTACTCAAGACTGGGTAATTTATAAAGAAAAAGAGGTTTAATGGGCTCACAGTTCCATTTGGCTGAAGAAGCCTTAAAATCATGGTAGAAGGCAAAAGGCACATCTTACATGGTGGCAGACAAGAGTGATGAGAGCTATTTTGGTTATTGTTCACTGGCCATAGAATTTACTTCTATATTTTGAACTAAGAAAAGAGCCGGGAACACAAGACGGTTACAGGTCTGTCTTTTGTTTTTGATAATGATGATGATGATGATGATGAAATGGCTGACATGGTTCATGATTGCTTTTTCTCATCATCTCAGACCTAGATTTTTGGCTGGACTATTGGCTTGGGATAGATGAAAATCATTCCTTGTATCCCCTGATCTTAAAGTCAAGACTGAACCAACCTCCAGACACAAGCCTTCATGGGGCTTCAGATACCATGAGGAATGGGCATCCCTGCAATATTGTCATGGCTGTCAAAATTGTTATTGGAGCTGAGCAAGTGGGCCCTCTCCTGCCATTCCATCCTGCTTAGATTTCCCATTCAACATCAATCGTATTTTTTATTTTTTATTTTTTTTTTTTGACAGAGTCTCACTCTGTTTCCTAGGCTGGAGTGCAGCGGTGGGATCTCAGCTCACTACAGTCTCCACCTCCCAGGTTTAAGCAATTCTTGTGCCTCAGCCTCCCAAGTAGCTGGGATTGCGGGTGCACACCATGAAGCCTGGCTCATTTTTTTTTTTTTTTTTTTTTTTTTGTATTTTTAGTAGAGACAGGGTTTTACCATGTTGGCCAGGCTGGTCTTGAACTCCTGACCTCAAGTGATCCACCTACCTTGGCCTCCCAAAGTGCTGGGATTACAGGTGTGAGTCACTGTACCTGGCCCCATTTCCTCTTATACCATAAGTCATTGCCTGCAAATGTGTTTTCTCCATTAGTTTGCAAAAGCTTCCTGAGAGTAGGCCTGTGCCTCATTTATTCTGGAATCTTCCTGGCACAAAGCACAGGGCTTTATCCTCAGTAGGCATCCAACAAATGTTTAATTTCATTCAACAGCTCCTCTTACCACTACCCCCACCTTATTTGCAGGTGGCTAAGTACAATCAGAACAAGTAGGTATCATAAGATTTAGTCCAGAGTCAATCTGGGAAGAAATTACTTTAGTGATATGAAAAGAAACCAAGCTATTTAGTCAGAATACTTCTGAGAGTATCCTCTGTCCAAGCATTTGCTGAATTTCGATCTACTAATTTTCAGGTGGAACAGTATGGTTGCAGAGAGTCCATTTGGATATATATACACTTTCATGCATTCATGTCTTTAACAATAATTTGTGGCCCTGCTGTGTTTGTTCACTAACTCCTTCGAACCTACCATATAAGCTATATCTTTATTTTCCTTGTAATTTGGGAGGTCCAATGCTTCATTAAGCTCACATGCCTGAAACTAATGAAGAAAATAGCTCGTTAACCAGCTAGTATAAAAATAGCCACCAAAATAAGTCAATCACCCGCCTTAAATCAGCTCAGTACTGCCATCTTGAGCGGAGAAGCCCATTCTGAATCGCAGTCAAGACACTGATGGAAAAGCAGCTCTCTCTGGGTATCAAAACCACGCTCGCCCCAAATCCTTCTCCCCAGAATTCTACTCATTGCTCACCCACTAAACCCAGAACAAACCAGAAGTGCTTGAAATGAGGATGGGTAGCTCCGTGTACCAATCAGAATTTAAAACTGTATCAATTCCTGCTATAGAAATGAGGCTTCTCCCCAGGACCAGCATTCCATGAAGGCAGCCCTTTTCTAGATGGAGAAAACACAACCTGAAGACACCCGTTTCCCTAAACTGCTCTCGCTCATGTATAAGTACAAATGAAAAATGCTGACGCTGCTTCCGTTGGCATTGCTTTTTAATTACGGCCATCAATAAATCATTTTATCCTTGAACAAGACTTGAGAATGGCCCGAAGGCAGAGGCATGATTCCTTAGGAATTAGGCCAAAAGAGAATGGGCTGTCTCTCTTCTCACCTCTTCTCTTACTCTGCTGTCAGAAACAGAAACGTTCTCTGTGAGTAGCTGGGAGCCGACGGCCGCACTTGAGTTCCATCTGGGGCTTCTGTTGACACAGTTTTACCCCAGCCTGCCTTGATGGCCACTGCCACACAAGCTGCATCTGTTCTTTCTTCTGCGCCTCTTGTTACATCGTTGTTGTTTTTCCTCTTTCTAGTGTAGTGAGCTGAATGGTGGCTTTACACAAGATATATCCAGATCCTTGTGCCTAGAATCTGTGGAGGTGGCATTATTTGGAAAAAGGGTCTTTGCAGATGTAATTAAGTTAAGGATCTTGAGATTATCCTGGAGTATTTTCGGTAGGCTGTACATCTAAAGACAAGTGTCCTTATAAGAGGACACTTTTGTCCAGGCGCAGTGGCTCATGCCTGTAATCCCAGCACTTTGGTAGGCTGAGGTGGGTGGATCACCTGAGGTCAGGACTTCGAGACCAGCCTGACCAACATGGAGAAACCCCATCTCTACTAAAAATAAAAAATTAGCCGGGCATGGTGGTGCATACCTGCAATCCCAGCTACTGGGGAGGCTGAGGCAGGAGAGTTGCTTTAACCCAGGAGGAGGAGGTAGCAGTGAGCTGAGGTCATGCCATTGCACTCCAGCCTGGGCAACAAGAGTGAAACTCCATCTCAAAAAAAAAAAAAAAAAAAGGACACTGTTTTTCACGTGCATCCAAGTGAAGAGACCACCAAACAGACTTTGTGTGAGCAATAAAGCTGTTTATTTCACCAGGGTGCAGGCAGGCTGAGTCCAAATACAGAGTCAGTGAAGGGAGATAGGGGTGGGGCTGTTTTTATAGGATTTGGGTAGGTAAAGGAAAAAGGGGTTGTTCTCTGGCAGGCAGGAGTGGGGGTCACAAGGTGCTCAGTAGGGGAGCTTCTGAGCCAGGATGAGCCAGGAGAAGGAATTTCACAAGATAATGTCATCAGTTAAGGCAGGAACAGGCCATTTTCATTTATTTTGTGGTGGAATGTCATCAGTTAAGGCAGGAACTGGCCATCTGGATGTGTACGTGCAGGTCACAGGGGATATGATGGCTTAGCTTGGGCTCAGAGGCCTGATGTTCCTGTCTTCTTATATTAATAAGAAAAATAAAATGAAATAGTGGTAAAGTGTTGGGACGGCGAAAATTTTTGGGGATGGTATGGAGAGATAATGGGCGATGTTTCTCAGGGCTGCTTTGAGTGGGATTAGGGGCAGCGTGGGAACCTAGAGTGGGAGAGATTAAGCTGAAGGAAGATTTTGTGGTAATAGGTGATATTGTGGGGTTGTTAGAGGAAACATTTGTCATTTAGAATTATTGATGATGGCTTGGATACAGTTTTGTATGAATTGAAAAACTAAACAGAATAAGAGAAGGAGAAAAACAGGTATTAAAGGACTAAGAATTGGGAGGACCTAGGACATCTAATTAGAGAGTGTCTAAGGAGGTTCAGCATAGCCTTGCCAGCAAAGATTATTTATTTAAGAGTTAAGAGTGGCGGTTTGGGGATAGCATCAGGAGATATCAGCTGTGATGGCTTGGAGAAACAGTGTAAATCAGCAGTGTAAACAAGAGCAGGGCATGTATGAGTAGTTGAGAACGGTGAATAAAAGTGTGACTAGAGAGAAGATAGTAGGGATGACAAGTTTTTTTGGGGCACAGTCCAAGTTGCTCTGGTGTCTGGAATGAGACTGGGGCTTAATAAAAAGGAGCATCTATACAGGAGCTCAAATGGGCTGTACCTTGTAGCATTCCAAGGACAGGCCTGAATTCTGAGAAGGGAAAGTGGTAAAAGTATTGTCCAGTCCTTTTTAAGTTGGTGGCTGAGCTTGGTGAGGTGTGTTTTTAAAAGACCATTAGTCTGTTCTACCTTTCCTGAAGACTGAGGACTGTAAGGGATATAAAGGTTTCACTGAATACTAAGAGCCTGAAAAAATGCTTGGCTGACTTGATTAATAAAGGCCGGTCTACTATTGGACTGTATAGAGGTGGGAAGGCCAAACTGAGGAATTATGTCTGACAGAAGGGAAGAAATGACCGTGGTGGCCTTCTTAGACCCTGTGGGAAATGCCTCTACCTATCCGGTGAAAGTGTCTACCTAGACCAAGAGGTATTTTAGTTTCCTGACTCAGGGCACGTTGAGTAAAGCTAATTTGCCAGTCCTGGGTGGGGGCAAATCCCTGAGCTTGATGTGTAGGGAAGGGAGGGGGCCTGAAGAATCCCCGAGGAGTAGAGAATAGCAGATGGAACACTGAGAAGTTATTTCTTTGTGGATAGATTTCCACACTGGAAAGGAAATGAGCGGTTCTAAGAGGCGGGCTAGTGGCTTGTACTATAGGATAGCCTGCCTTTGCTGGTGTGTGGCGATTAGGCCTGGTGGAACTGCCATCAATAAGTGTGATCAGGGTGAGAAACAGGAAAGAAGGAAATGTGGGGAAATGGGGTGAACATCAGGTGGATCAGAGAGATACAGTCACGAGGGTCAAGTGTGGTATCAGGAATAATGTGGGAGGCCGGATTGAAGTCTGGGCCATGAACAGTGGTAATTGTGGGAGACTCAACAAAGAGTTAGTACAGCTGAAGGAGCCGGGGAGCAGAAAGTATATGTGTCATCTGTAAGGAAGAAAATAGATTTTGGAAATTATGAGAGCTGTAGAGAGTGAGTTGAGCATAGTTTGTGATTTTAAGGTCCTCTAAAAGTATTAGGGCAGCAAGAGCCACTGCATGGAGACATAATGGCCAGCCTAAAACAGTAAGGTCAAGTTGTTTGGACAAAGAGGCTACAGGATGCAATCCTGGTCCTTGTGTAAGAATTTCGACTACACAGCGCTGCACTTTGGCTGTGTGTAGTGAAAAGGGTTGGGATGAGTCAGGGAGAGCTAGGGTGGGGGCAGCCTTTAAAGCTGTCTTCAAGGAACAGAAAGAGGAGTGGGGAAAGGATTTAGGATCTATGGGGTCAGCTAGGTTTCCTTATTTGAGTTTATATAATGGTTTTGTTAGGATGGCAAAACCAAGTATCTAAAGGCAAAAGTATCCAACCATGCCCAGGAAGGAAAGGAGTTGTTGTTTTGTAGCTGGGGTTGGGGTTTGAGAGATTAGTCGGACACGATCGGCAGGGAGAGCACGTGTGTTTTTATGAGAATTATGCTGAGATAGGTAACAGACAAGGAAGAAATTTGGGCTTGACTGAAGTCATAGGGACTGTCCGTGAAGTTTTGTGGCAGTGCAGCCCAGGTAATTTGCTGAGCTTGATTGGTGTCAGGGTCAGTCCAAGTGAAAACAAGGAGAGACTGGGATGAAGGGTGCAAAGGAATAGTAAAGAAAGCATGTTTGAGATCCAGAACAGAATAATGAGTTGTGGAGGGAGGAATTGAGGATAGGAGAGTATATGCGTTTGGCACCATGGGGTAGATAGGCAAAACAATTTTGTTGATAAGGCATAGATCCTGAACTAACTTGTAAGGCTTGTCTGGTTTTAGGACAGGTAAAATGGGGGAATTGTAAGGAGAGTTTATAGGCTTTAAAAGGCCATGCTGTAGCAGGCGAGTGATAACAGGCTTTAATCCTTTCAAAGCATGCTGTGGGATGGGATATTGACATTGAGCGGGGTAAGGGGGATTAGGTTTTAATGAGATGGCAAGGGGTGCATGATCGGTCGCCAAGGAGGGAGTAGAGGTATCTTATACTTGTGGGTTAAGGTGGGTAGCAATGAGTTGTAGCTATAGTCCAGGAATAGTCAGGGAAGCAGATAATTTAGTTAAAGTGCCTCAGCCTAATAAGGGAACTGGGCAGGTGGGGATAACTAAAAAGGAGTGCTTAAAAGAGTATTGTCTAAGTTGGCATCAGAGTTGGGGAGTTTTAAGAGGTTTAGGAGCCTGGCTGTCAACACCCACAACAGTTATGGAGGCAAGGGAAACAGGCACTTGAAAAGAAGGTAATGTGGCATGGGTAGCCTCTGTATTGATTAAAAAGGGGATGGACTTACCCTCCACTGTGAGAATTACCTAGAGCATCTGTGATGGTCCTGTAGGCTTCCAAAGTGATTGATCAGGCAGTGTCAGTCTTCAGCTGCTAAGCCAAGAAGATCTGGGAAGGAGTCAGTCAGAGAGCCTTGGGCCAGAGTTCCAGGGGCTCTGGGAGTGGCTGCCAGGTGAGTTGAACAGTCCAATTTCTAGTGGGGTCCCACACAGATGGGACATGGCTTAGGAGGAATCCCGGGTTGTGGGCATTCCTTGGCCTGGTGGCCAGATTTCTGGCACTTGTAGCAAGCTCCTGGGGGAGGTGGTTCTGTAGGAACACCTGGCCACTGTGCTTTAGGCGTTTGGAAGTTCTTGTGTGCTGGAGATGTGGCTGGGGTTTGTCTCACAGTGGAGGCAAGGAATTACAACTCAGAAATATGTTGCTACTTGGTTGCCTCTACTCTATTATTGTACACCTTGAAGGTGAGGTTAATTAAGTCCTGTTGTGGGGTTTGAGGGCCATAATTTAATTTTCAGAGTTTTATTTAATGTCGGGAGCAGATTGGGTAATACAATGTATATTGAGAATAAGACATCCTTTTGACCTTTTAGGGTATAGGGCTGTAAAGCATCTCAGGGTTGCTGCCAAATGAGCCATGAACTAGGCTGGATTTTTATATTTGATGAAAAGGAGCCTAAACTCTATCTGATTTGGGATAAAGAAAAAGGAGCATTAACCTTGACTATGCCTTTAGCTTCAGCCACCTTTTTAAGAGTAAATTGCTGGGCAGGTCGGGGAGGGCTAGTCATGGAACAAAACTGTAAGCCGGACGCGGTGTGAGGAGGGGAGGTGACAAAAGTATTATAGGGTGGAGGAGCAGAGGCTGAGGAAGAATTGGGGCCTAGCTTGGCCTGGTGAGGAGGGGAGAGGTCAGATTTTTCTGTAGAAAAGGAAGATTAGAAAGACTCAGTGATGCTTGGGGTTGGGATTGAGGGGGCAGCTGGGAGGGAAAGAAGGAAGATTTGGGATGAGTTGCACTGGGAACAGACTAGGGAGGGACCAATGTGTAAAAGAATGCCTGGACGTCAGTCACCTCAGACCGTTTGCCCATTTTATGACAAGAATTATCTAGATCATGTAGGATGGAAAAATTGAAAGTGCCATTTTCTGGCTATTTGGAACTACTGTCAAGTTTGTATTGGGGTCAAGCAGCATTGTGGAAGAAAATAAGGCATTTAGGTTTTAGGTCAGGTGTGAGTTGAAGAGGTTTTAGGTTTTTAAGAACACAGGCTAAGGGAGAAGAAGGGGGAATGGTGGGCAGAAGCTTACCCATAGTGAAGGCGGCAAGCCTAGAGAAAAGAGAGAGTAGAGACACAGAGAGAAGGGGTGGGGGGTTCTTGCCTTCCAGAAAAGCAGGAAAGGGGTTGGGGTGCAGAAATAAAGGGTTGTGATACAGAGCTAAGAGGTCAGGGCACAGAAATAAGGGGTTGGGGTGCAGAGATAAGAGGTCAGGTCACAGAAATAAGGGATTGGGTCACAGAGATAAGAGGTTGGGGCATGGAAATAAGGGATCGGGGCACAGAGATAAGAGAGGGTTCCTGCCCCTCCCCCAGAAAAACAGGACTTGCTGCTAAGGGTGAAGGAGAAGGGGTTGAGGGGTTCTTGCCCCTTCCCCCAGAAAAGCGGGACTTGCCACTAAGGGTGAAGGACCAAGGCAGGCGTCCCTGCGTGGTCTGACACCTCTGAAACCTGGGTGAATAATCAGAGAGGCATCCCTGCAATGATTAAACACCAAGGAAAGGGTGTCTTCCCAAGTCCGTGACAGGCGCTGGAGTTGTGGGTCCATGGATAAAACGTGTCTCCTTTGTCTCTACCAGAAAATGAAAGGAATTGAAATTAAGAGAAGGGAGAGATTGAAGTGTGGTGCCAAGATTGAAAGGATAAAGAGGTTGAGGGATAGTGAAGGAGGTTGGAGAAGAGAGTAAAAAGAAGTCACTTACTGGATTTGAAATTGGTGAGATGTTTCTTGGGCTGGTCAGCCTGAGGACCTGAGGTTGTAGCTGGATCTTTCTCTCAGAGCAAAGAGCAGGAGGACAGGGGATGGATCTCCCAAGGGAGGTCCCCCGATCCGAGTCACGGCACCAAATTTCACATGGGTCCGTGCGAAGAGACCACCAAACAGGCTTTGTGTGAGCAATAAAGCTGTATATTTCACCTGGGTGCAGGTGGGCTGAGTCCGAAAAGTGTGAGCGAAGGGAGATAGGGGTGGGGCCATTTTATAGGATTTGGGTAGGTAAAGGAAAAAGGGGGGTTGTTCTCTGGCAGGCAGGAGTGGGGGTCACAAGGTGCTCAGTAGGGGAGCTTTTGAGCCAGGATGAGTCAGGAGAAGGTATTTCACAAGATAATGTCATCAGTTAAGGCAGGAACTGGCCATCTGGATGTGTACGTGCAGGTCACAGGGGATACGATGGCTTAGCTTGGGCTCAGAGGCCTGACACTCTTCCTCCAGAGGAGGAGACCCAGACAGAAGAGGAGAAGAGGAGGAGGCAAGGTGATCACAGAGGCAGAGATTGGATCATGCAGCCACAAGTTGAGGAATTCTAGTAGCCTCTACAAGCTGGAAGAGGCAAGGAATGGATTCTCCCCTAGAACCTCTGAAGGAGCATGGTCCTGCTGACATTTGATTGATTTTGGACTTCTGGCCTCCAGACTTTCCTTTTTCCTTTTTTTTTTAGACAGAGCCTTGCTCTGTTGCCCAGTCTGGAGTGCAGTTGCACGATCTCGGTTCACTGCAACCTCCACCTCCCAGGCTCAAGCCATTCTCTTGCCTCAGCCTCCCAAGTAGCTGGGCTACAGGTGCCTGCCACCATGCATGGCTAATTTTTGTATTTTTAGTAGAGATGATGTTTTGCCATATTGGCCAGGCTGGTCTTGAATTCCTGGCCTCAAGTGATCCACCCACCTCAGCCTCCCAAAATGCTGAGATTATTTAGGTGTGAGCCACGGCACCAGGCCCAGACATTGTTTGAAGCCACCCATTTCATAGTTCTTTGCTGCAGTGGTTGTGGAATATGAATGCACTCATGCTGTTGGTTGGACTTTGCTGATCTTGTGTCTGTTATGCCCTGGCAGTTCTACAGGGCCTGGAGCTGATATGGAAAACCTCCCTTCTTTCCCAAATGGTCCCCAGTTTCCCCGTTCACTGAAGGCCCTGCAGTCAGGAACAGTCAGGACTTTGCACCCAGTTGTTGTGGGTGTTTGGCCGACCCCTCCTCTTGTGTGATTCGTGGACCAGCAGCATTGTGTCACCTGTGAGTTTTTGGAATTGAAGACTCTCAGGGCTCACCTGGGAGGACCTCCTGGGCCAGAATCTGCATTTTAACAAGATGCCTGGGTGATTTACGTAAACGTTCAGATCTGAGAAGCGCTGGTAGGAGAGGCTTTAAGGTGGTAATTAGATCTTTTCTCCACCTGCAAGAATCTTAGTTTCTTCATGTTAAATCTATTAACTGTGGCAATGGCATGGGGGTTATAAAACAAAACAAAATCCTTACATCAAGAATGCACCCTGGTGTGTTATGGATGTGAGTGAAATGAAATGTCTGGAATTTGCTTTAAAATATTGTAAAATAGCAAGAAGGAAAATAAAAGCAGGAACTGGAATGAGATTGGTGAAATGTTGACAAGTTCTTGCAGTGGGATGATGGGTGCATGGGGGTTCATGGTGTAATTCTCTCCCTGCTTTTTGTGCACATGGGAAATTTCCATAATGAAAAGTTAGAGGTCAGGCACGGTGGCTCATGCCTGTAATCTCAGCATTTTGGGAGGCTGAGGTGGGTAGATTGCTTGAACCTAGGAGTTCAAGACCATCCTGGACAACATGGCGAAAACCCATCTTTACTAAAAATGCAAAAATTAGCCAGGCATGGTGACAACATGCCTGTAGTCATGTTGAGGCACGAGGTTGAGGCATGAGAATCACTTGAACCCAGGAGGCGGAGGTTGCAGTGAGCCGAGATCGCACCATTACACTCCAGCCTGGGCGACAGAGTGAGACTTGGTCTCAAAAAAATTTTTAATTTTCTTTTTTTTCTTTCGAGATGGAGTCTTGCTCTTTTGCCCAGGCTGGAGTGCAGTGGCATGATCTTGGCTCACTGCAAGCTCCACCTCCCGAGTTCACTCCATTCTTCTGCCTCAGCCTCCAGAGTAGCTGGGACTGAAGGCACCCACCACCATGTCCGGCTAATTGTTTGTATTTTTAGTACAGATGGGGTTTCACTGTGTTAGGATGATCTTGATCTCCTGACCTCGTGATCTGCCCACCTTGGCCTCCTAAAGTGCTGGGATTACAGGCATTAGCCATAGTGCCCGGCCTTAATTTTGTTTAATTTTTTTCTTTGTTGAGACAAGATCTCACTCTGTAGCCCAGGCTGGAGTGCAGTGGTGTGATCCCGGCTCACTGCAGCCTCTACCTCTTGGGTTCAAGCAATCCTCCCACCTCAGCCTTCTGAGTAGCTGAGACCACAGGCATGTATCACCACACCAGGCTAATTTTTTCCCTTTTTCTAAAGGCAAGGTCTTGCTATGTTGCCCAGGCTGGTCTTGAACTCCTGAGCTCAAGCAATCTTCCCGTTTTAGCATGGGAGTAATCCCAAAGTGCTGGGATTACAGGTGTGAGTCACTCTACCAAGCCTCAACTGTTTTTCATGACTCCACTTTTTCTCACCTCTTGGAAATGAGTAGTCTTTGAGGGAATGTCTTTTTTGTCTCAATCTCTGGTTTCTTTGCTCAGTGCACCTGTGTTTGGCGCTTTGTTGATCTCCAGGCCTTTTTCAGCAGTGTTGTCCCTGGAGAGCATGATGGCAGCTGATGGCTTCTCAGCATCTTTTAACTCAGTTTAAGATGACTATCAACATCATCTAGTCAGCAACTGTTGCTCTCGACAGCTGGGACTTCATTTCCTTTCTCTTTCTCCACCTCTCTAACCTCTTTAAGACTCTGTCTTTGTCATGGGTACAGCATCACCAGTGTGGCCCTTAGGCTCTCTTACTTACATGTGATCTGCGTATTATGTCTTTACTTCAGGGCTTCTCAACCAGGGGGTAATTTTGCCCCCCCAGAGAACATGTGCCTATGTCTGGAGACAGTTTTGGTTGTTGCAGCTGGAGGAGGTGGTGCTACTGGCAGCTAATGAGTAGAGGCCAGGGATGCTGCTAAACATCCTACAATGCCCTGGACAACTCCCACTAAGACAAAATAATGATCCAGCCCCAAATGTCAATAGTGCTGAAAGTGAGAGACCCTGATTCCATCTTAGAGCTTAGAGATCATCCAAGCACATTTGGGCCAAATTGTTTTTGCTACTGTCCCATGAAGAAAAGGCAGACTCATGACTGATGGCAACATCGATGGGAATTTTGTTTACCTCTTCTTTGTGGACTTTGGGATACGATGACTTACCATTTGTGCAAGTTGTGCATCTCACACCTCCAGGCGCCACCCACATATTTATGAAAATGCCACCCCAGGAATTGCACAGTACATAGTCTACATGGCTATAAGCAGTTGCTCTGGTTTTGGGGTTGCCCTGGTGTGCTCTGAAACTAGGAGGAACTTTATTTCTGGCCATTAGAGGCCCTGAGCATGACATTGAGTATTCCTTCAAGAAAGGAGAAATGTTGAACAGAGAGGACCTCATTTTTATAACTCTTGACCATCATCTAGTTGCAGAGCATCCACTTTTCACCCCTGGGCCATATCCATTTGACGGATGTAAAATGATCAAATTATACTATCATGGCTTACGCTTTTGATAGCTTCTGCCCGGAACATAGTGGTAAGAGCCTCTCATTTTCAATTGATTCATTGGGGGAGAAAATATACACGGCTGCCCTAAGACTTTCTATTACACACCATTTGCTTGACGGGATTTCTTTAGTTTCTGTAGCATAACTTATTCTAACTGGTCCTCAATCACTTTGCAATAAAAACTGAGACTGTGAAAATGTTCATTGTCATTACCAGTGACAGAGCAGTAAGTACAGAGTTCTGGAGAGGGAAGGAATCGAGAGATTTAAACTAGCAGAATAAGCCACTCACCCTCAGAATTGCTTTTCTTCTTGGTGGGAACTGAGGGGAATTTCGACAGGGTTCAGAGGGACTGCGGGGAGTGGGGCTGGGAGATGGCTGTTTGCACGTGTGGTCAGCAAATCCAGTGAGGGGGTCCATGTACTGTGGGCAGCCCCACAGATGGAGTTGGGGTTGCCCTGGACTGAGTACTGGGTCATCAGACTGCAAACCGCCATTCTCAAGACATCGAGGCCCAGGCTGGTGCAGGAGATACATCGCAGTGTGTCAGCCTTTCTTCCATCGCTCCTCTCTAACGACAGTTCCCGATTTTCCACCAAGGAGTCACTAGTGCCCCAGGGCATGTGTGCGACTGGCCACTCCCCACCCTGATCTGGGGCTGGGGCATGTGGTCCCAGCCTGCATGTCAATATCCTTCCACCTCCTCCACCACCCTGGCCACAGTGATTGGGTCTGAGAAGCAGATTAGCCAAAGGAGAGACAATCTTGGAAATTTCATGTTCATGCTTAAGAAAGTAAAATGGAAAGTGGGGGGAGGGTGAGGGGTCATTCTGATGATATAGTTTGAGGACCTGGATGTAGCCACACCTGTAGCTGTCAACTCTGTGCCATAGTACTGCTTTTTTTTTTTTCCTTCATATTTAAATACTTTCTAGAGGCAAGGTCTTTTTATGTTGCTTGGGCTGGTTTTGAAAAGTCTCTTTTGGGGGGATGCTTTCACTGCTTCACTTCCTTTCTATGACAGGTCAGGGAATCAGAAGACAAGGGAGATGACTTTTTTTTTTTTTTAGACAGGGCTTGCTCTGTTGCCCAGGCTGGAGTGCAGTGGTGCAATCACAGCTCACCACAGCCTTGATCTTCTGGACTCAAGAGACCCTCCTGCTTCAGCCTCCTGAGTAGCTGGGCCTGTAGGCGGGTACCACCATGCCCAGCTAATTAAATAATTTTTTTTTTTTTTTTTTTTAGAAATGAGATCTCAGTATGTCACCCAGGCTGGCCTCAAACTCCTGGGATCAAGTGATTGCCCTGCCTTAGGTTCCCAAACTTACAGGTGTGAGTCCCCACACCAGTCAACACTGTGGTCTTATGCACCTGGTGTCCCCATAGGCCTGAGCAATGATCCTCCTGCTTCAACTTCCCAAAGTGCTGGGATAAGAGATGTGAAGCACCATGTGTGGCCCACACAGAATTCTTATGGGTTAAATTGAGTCCTCCTCAAAAGATGTTGAAATCCTAAATTCTAGTAGCTCAGAATGTGATCTTATTTAGAAATACTTATTGCAGGCCGGGCATGGTGGCTCACAGCTGTAATCCCAACACTTTGGGAGGCCGAAGTGGGTGGATCACCTGAGGTCAGGAGTTTGAGACCAGCCTGACCAACATGGAGAAACCCTGTCTCTACTAAAAATACAAAATTAGCTGGGTGTGGTGGTGCATACCTGTAATCCCAGCTACTCAGGAGGCTGAGGCAGGAGAATCACTTGAACCCAGGCAGCGGAGGTTGCATTGAGCTGAGATCGCGCCATTGCACTCCAGCCTGGGCATCAA
Source organism: Homo sapiens (assembly GCF_000001405.40). NCBI lineage: Eukaryota > Metazoa > Chordata > Mammalia > Primates > Hominidae > Homo > Homo sapiens. The sequence continues at coordinate 127,469 of NW_021159989.1, forward strand.
GAGTGAAACTCCATCTCAAAAAAAAAAAAAAGAAAGAAAGAAAGAAAGAAAGAAATAGGCTTATTGCAGATGCTATTGATTAGGATGAAGTCATCCTGGAGTAGGGAGGGCCCTAAGTCAATGACTGGTGTCCTTATAAAAGAGGAGAGGACACGCTGAGTCATGGAGACACAGGGAAGAAGGCCATGGATCAGACAGAAGATTGCACTGATGCGTCTGCAAACCAAGGAACACTGAAGACTGCCAGGAGACTGCAGGAAACTAGGACGAGGCAAGGCAGGACTCCCCGACAAGTGCAGGAGGTAGTGTGGCCCTGCTGGCACTTCCATTTCAGACTGCTGGCCACCAGAGCCGGAAGACAATCAATTTCTCTTGTTTCAAGTCACCCAGCTTGTGGTACTTGGTTGTGGCAGCCCTGGGGAATGAATATAATTATTTTCTTTCTTTTTTTTCTTTTTTTGAGATGGAGTCTCACTCTGTCGCCCAGGCTGGAGTGCAGTGGCGAGATCTCGGCTCACTGCAAGCTCTGCCTCCCAGGGTCACGCCATTCTCCTGCCTCAGCCTCCCGAGTAGCTGGGACTACAGGCACCTGCCACCAAGCCCAGCTAATTTTTTGTATTTTTAAGAGACGGCGTTTCACCGTGTTAGCCAGGATGGTCTCCATCTCCTGACCTCGTGATCCACCTGCCTCAGCCTCCCAAAGTGCTGGGATTACAGGCGTGAACCACTGTGCCTGGCCAAATATAAGTACGTTTAAATTAACTCTCCTTTTCTCTCCCTCTTCTTCTAAATCATTTTTGCCTGAGCAACAGCTAGGGTCTAATACGGATGTGATGACTCACTTCAAAGTGGGGGAAGCCAGTCCCCATGTGCGCCCAAAGCTCCTGCTGCGTTGGCTCTGGGCTCAGAGACTGGACCATTATTCTGGAGGCTTGCTGAAGATCTGAGACAGGGCAGCATTCTCTGTTGCCTTTAAACAAAGGCTGGTGCTCGCCCAGGCATGTGAGCTCCACAGAGGATCTATTTGGAAGGCAGAATTCTGAGATGACCCCTTAGGTTCTTGCCCTGGATAAATCCCAGGTGTAATCTCCTCTCCCTTGGAGTGTAGGCAGGACTCGTGGCTTGCTTCTAATCTATACCTATGGAAAAGTTGAAAGGATTTTACAGATGTAACTAAGCCCCTAATCCGTTCCCTTTGAGTTAATCAAAAGGGAGATTATTCAGGGTGGGCCTGACATCTTCAGGTGAGATCTTCAATGAGGATCTGGAGGAGAGAGACTCCTTCCTCCTGGTTTTTGGTTTTTGTTTGTTTGTTTGTTTTTGGGATGGAGTCTCATTCTGTTGCCCAGGCTGGAGTGCAGTGGCACGATCTCGGCTTACTGCAACCTCTGCCTCCTGGGTTCAAGTGATTCTCCTGCCTTAGCCTCCCAAGTAGCTGGGATTACAGGCATGCGCCATCATGCCTGGCTAAGTTTTGTATTTTTAGTAGAGACGGGGTTTCACCATATTGGCCAGGCTGGTCTCGAACTCCTGACCTCGGGTGATCCACCTACCTCAGCCTCCGAAAGTGCTGGGATTACAGGCGTGAGCCACCATCCCCGGCTGGTTTTGAAGAAGCCACATGAGTTCCACAGTTCCATGGAAATAAATTCAGCCAACAACCATGAGAGGTTGGGAGAAGACCCCAAGCCTCATATGAGACACTAATTCCAGCCAACATCTTGATCACAACCTTGTAAGAACCTGAGCAGAGGACCCAGCTAAAGCTGCACCCCCAGACTCCTGACCCACAGGAAAGGAGAGGTAATAGATGGGTGTTTTAAGCTGCTAAATTTGTGTTGATTTGTTATGCAGCTTAGAAAATGAATACATCATTCCATTTTTTAAAAATCATAAGCTAATTACACCATTCGATTTTTTTTTTTTTTTTTTTTTGAGACAGAGTCTCACTCCATCGCCCAGGCTGGAGTGCAGTGGTGCAATCTCGGCTCACTGTAACCTCTGCCTCCTCGGTTCAAGTGATTCCCTTGCCTCAGCCCCCCAAGTAGCTGGGACTACAGGCATGCACCACCATACCTAGCTAATTTTTATATTTTTAGTAGAGATGGAGTTTCACCATGTTGGCCAGGCTGGTCTCGATCTCCGGACCTCAAGTGACCTGCCTGCCTCAGCCTCCCAAAGTGCTGGGGTTACTGACATGAGCCACCGCACCCGGCCCTACACACCATTCAATTTTAAGGAACTTCCAGGTGCTGTGGCCAAGCCCCTCTTGTGTGGCATGGAGGATGGGGGAGATGGGTTGGAAGATGACTGGATGGGGGCACGGAGCTAGGTGGGAAGAGGAAAAGTGTCTTGAAGGAAGTAAGTCCCTTCAGATAAGGGAGGAAGAAGCTTGATCAGTATGCAGACTTTCACAGTCCTTCAGTCATGGGGATATTGGAGGAGAGACAGGTGTTGCCTTGTATTTGAGAGTTACCATCCCAGGCAGTGACCCTACTTCCACCTTCTTGCAGGTGGGGCTGGAGGGCAAATACTTAGAGGAGAAATGAACACCCTTTGTAAGCATGTGAAAAGTTTCTGGAGTGGAGAGATGATGAAGCAGGATATTTGGAGTCAACAGCCAATGTTTTTATTTTATTTTTTATTTTTTATCATACTTTAAGTTTTAGGGTGCATGTGCACAACGTGCAGGTTTGTTACATATGTATACATGTGCCCTGTTGGTGGGCTGCACCCATTAACTCGTCATTTACATTAGGTATATCTCCAAGTGCTATCCCTCCCCCCTTCCCCCACCTGATGACAGGCCCCAGTGTGTGATGTTCCCCACGCTTTGTCCAAGTGTTCTTATCGTTCAATTCCCACCTGTGAGTGAGAACATGCGGTGTTTGGTTTTGTCCTTGCAATATGTTTGCTGAGAATGATGGTTTCCAGCTTCATCCATGTCCCTACAAAGGACATGAACTCATCATTTTTTATGGCTGCATAGCATTCCATGGTGCGTATGTGCCACATTTTCTTAATCCAGTCTATTGTTTTTGGACATTTGGCTTGGTTCCAAGTCTTTGCTATTGTGAATAGTGTCGCAATAAACATACGTGTGCACGTGTCTTTATAGCGGCATGATTTGTAATCCTTTGGGTATATACCCAGTAATGGGATGGCTGGGTTAAATGGTATTTCTAGTTCTAGATCCCTGAGGAATCGCCACACTGACTTCCACAATGGTTGAACTAGTTTACAGTCCCACCAACAGTGTAAAAGTGTTCCTATTTCTCCACATACCCTCCAACACCTGTTGTTTCCTGACTTGTTAATGATCGCCATTCTACCTGGTGTGAGATGGTATCTCATTGTGGTTTTGATTTGCATTTCTCTGGCCAGTGATGATGAGCATTGTTTCATGTGTCTTTGGCTGCATAAATGTCTTCTTTTGAGAGGTGTTTGTTCATATCCTTTGCCCACTTGTTGATGGGGTTGTTTGCTTTTTTCTTGTAAATTTGTTGGAGTTCATTGTAGATTCTGGATATCAGCCCTTTGTCAGATGAATAGATTGCAAAAATTTTCTCCCATTCTGTAGGTAGCCTGTTCACTCTGATGGTAGTTTCTTTTGCTGTGCAGAAGCTCTTGAGTTCAATTAGATCCTATTTGTCAATTTTGGCTTCTGTTGCCATTGCTTTTGGTGTTTTAGACATCAAGTCCTTGCCCATGCCTATGTCCTGAATGGTATTGCCTAAGTTTTCTTCTAGGGCTTTTATGGTTTCAGGTCTAACATTTAAGTCTTTAATCCATCTCGAATTAATTTTTGTATAAGGTGTAAGGAAGGGATCCAGTTTCAGCTTTCTACATATGGCTAGCCAGTTTCCCCAGCACAATTTATTAAATAGGGAATCCTTTCCCCATTTCTTGTTTTTGTCAGGTTTGTCAAAGATCGGATAGTTGTAGACATGTGGCATTATTTCTGAGGGCTCTATTCTGTTCCATTGGTCTATATCTCTGTTTCTGTACCAGTACCATGCTGTTTTGGTTACTGTAGCCTTGTAGTATAGTTTGAAGTCAGGTAGTGTGATGCCTCCAGCTTTGGTCTTTTGGCTTAGGATTGACTTGGCAATGCAGGCTCTTTTTTTGGTTCCATATAAACTTTAAAGTAGTTTTTTCCAATTCTGTGAAGAAAGTCATTGGTAGCTTGATGGGGATGGCATTGAATCTATAAATTACCTTGGGCAGTATGGCCATTTTTACGATATTGATTCTTCCTACCCATGAGCATGGAATATTCTTCCATTTGTTTGTATCCTCTTATTTCGTTGAGCAGTGGTTTATAGTTCTCCTTGAAGAGGTCCTTCACTTCCCTTGTAAGTTGGATTCCTAGGTATTTTATTCTCTTTGAAGCAATTGTGAATGGGAGTTCACTCTTGATTTGGCTCTCTGTTTGTCTGTTATTGGTGTATTAGAATGCTTGTGATTTTTGCACACTGATTTTGTATCCTCAGACTTTGCTGAAGTTGCCTATCAGCTTAAGGAGATTTTGGGCTGAGATGATGGGGTTTTCTAGATATACAATCATGTCATCTGCAAACAGGGACTATTTGACTTCCTCTTTTCCTAGTTGAATGCCCTTTATTTCCTTCTCCTGCCTGATTGCCCTGGCCAGAAGTTCCAACACTATTTTGAATAGGAGTGGTGAGAGAGGGCATCCCTGTCTCCTGCCAGTTTTCAAAGGGAATGCTTCAAGTTTTTGCCCATTCAGTATGATATTGGCTGTGGGTTTGTCATAGATAGCTCTTATTATTTTGAGATACATCCCATCAATACCTAATTTATTGAGTTTTTAGCATGAAGCATTGTTGAATTTTGTCACAGGCCTTTTTTGCATCTAATGAGATAATCATATGGTTTTTGTCATTGGTTCTGTTTGTATGCTGGATTATGTTTATTGATTTGCGTATGTTGAACCAGCCTTGCATCCCAGGGATGAAGCCCACTTGATCATGGTGTATAAGCTTTTTGATGTGCTGCTGGATTCGGTTTGCCAGTATTTTATTGAGGATTTTTGCATTGATGTTCATCAGGGATAGTGGTCTAAAATTCTCTTTTTTTGTTTTGTCTCTGCCAGGCTTTGGTATCAGGATGATGCTGGCCTCATAAAATAAGCTAGGGAGGATTCTCTCTTTTTCTATTGTTTGGAATAGTTTCAGAAGGAATGATAGCAGCTCCTCCTTGTACCTCTGGTAGAATTCGGCTGTGACTCCAACTGGTCCTGGACTTTTTTTGTTGGTAAGCTATTAATTATTGCCTTAATTTTAGAGCCTGTTATTGGTCTATTCAGAGATTCAACTTCTTCCTCGTTTAGTCTTGGGAAGGTGTATGTGTCGAGGAATTTATCCATTTCTTCTAGATTTTCTAGTTCATTTGTGTAGAGGTGTTTATAGTATTCTCTGATGGTAGTTTGTATTTCTGTGGGATTGGTGGTGATATCCCCTTTATCATTTTTTATTGTGTCTATTTGATTCCTCTCTCTTTTCTTCTTTATTAGTCTTGCTAGCGGTCTATCAATTTTGTTGATGTTTCCAAAAAACCAGCTCCTGGATTCATGGATTTTTTGAAGGGTTTTTTGTGTCTCTATTTCCTTCAGTTCTGCTCTGATCTTAGTTATTTCTTGCCTTCTGCTAGCTTTTGAATGTATTTGCTCTTGCTTCTCTAGTTCTTTTAATTGTGATGTTAGGGTGTCAACTTTAGATCTTTCCTGCTTTCTCTTGTGGGCATTTAGTGCTATAAATTTCCCTCTACACACTGCTTTGAATGTGTCCCAGAGATTCTGGTATGTTGTGTCTTTGTTCTCGTTGGTTTCAAAGAACATCTTTATTTCTGCCTTCATTTCGTTATGTACCCAGTAGTCATTCAGGAGCAGGTTGTTCAGTTTCCATGTAGTTGAGTGGTTTTGAGTGAATTTCTTAATTCTCAGTTTTAGTTTGATTGCACTGTGAGAGAGTTTGGTATAATTTCTGTTGTTTTACATTTGCTGAGGAGTGCTTCACTTCCAAATATGTGGTCAATTTTGGAATAAGTGCGGCGTGGTGCTGAGAAGAATGTATATTCTGTTGATTTGGGGTGGAGAGTTCTGTAGATGTCTATTAGGTCTGCTTGGTGAAGAGCTGAGTTCAATCCCTGGATATCCTTGTTAACTTTCTGTCTCATTGATCTGTCTAATGTTGAGAGTGGGGTGTTAAAATCTCCCATTATTATCGTGTGGGAGTCTAAGTCTCTTTATAGGTCTCTAAGGACTTGCTTTATGAATCTGGGTGCTCCTGTATTGGGTGCGTATATATTTAGGATAGTTAGCTCCTCTTGTTGAATTGATCCCTTTACCATTATGTAATGGCCTTCTTTGTCTCTTTTGATCTTTGTTGGTTTAAAGTCTTTTTTATCAGAGACTAGGATTGCAACCCCTGCCTTTTTTTGTTTTCCATTTGCTTGGTAGATCTTCCTCCATCCTTTTATTTTGAGCCTATGTGTGTCTCAGCACATGAGATGGGTTTCCTCAATACAGGACAGTGATGGGTCTTGGCTCTTTATCCAATTTGCCAGTCTGTGTCTTTTAATCGGAGAATTTAGCCCATTGACATTTAAGGTTAATATTGTTGTGTGTAATTTGATCCTGTCATTATGATGTTAGCTGGTTATTTTGCTCGTTAGTTGATGCAGCTTCTCCCTAGCCTTGATGGTCTTTACAATTTGACATGATTTTGCAGTGGCTGGTACCGGTTGTTCCTTTCCATGTTTAGCACTTCCTTCAGGAGCTCTTGTAGGGCAGGCCTGGTGGTGACAAAATCTCTCAGCATTTGCTTGTGTGTAAAGGATTTTATTTCTCCTTCACTTGTGAAGCTTCGTTTCACTGGATATGAGATCTGGGTTGAAAATTCTTCTCTTTAAAATGTTGAAAATTGGCCCCCACTCTCTTCCGGCTTGTAGAGTTTCTGCTGAGAGATCAGTTGTTAGTCTGATGGGCTTCCCTTTGCACGTAACCGGACCTTTCTCTCTGGCTGCCCTTAACATTTTTTCCTTCATTTTAACTTTCATGAATCTGACAATTGTGTGTCTTGGAGTTGCTCTTCTCGAGGAGTATCTTTGTGGCATTCTCTGTATTTCCTGAATTTGAATGTTGGCCTGCCTTGCTAGATTGGGGAAGTTCTCCTGCATAATATCCTGCAGAGTGTTTTCCAACTTGGTTCCATTCTCCCCGTCACTTGCAGGTACACCAGTCAGACGTAGATTTGGTCTTTTCACATAGTCCCATATTTCTTGGAGGCTTTGTTCATTTCCTTATATTCTTTTTTCTCTAAACTTCTCTTCTCGCTTCATTTCATTCATTTCATCTTCCATCACTGATACCCTTTCTTCCAGTTGATCGAATCGGCTCCTGAGGCTTGTGCATTCGTCATGTAGTTCTCGTGCCTTGGTTTTCAGCTCCATCAGGTCCTTTAAGGACTTCTCTGCATTGGTTATTCTAGTTAGCCATTCATCCATTCTAGTTAGCCATTCATCTAATCTTTTTTCAAGGATTTTAACTTCTTTGCCATGGGTTTGAACTTCCTCCTTTAGCTTGGAGTAGTTTGATCGTCTGAAGCCTTCTTCTCTCAACTCATCAAAGTCATTCTCTGTCCAGCTTTGTTCCATTGCTGGTGAGGAGCTGTATTCCTTTGGAGGAGGAGAGGCACTCTTATTTTTAGAGTTTCCCATTTTTCTGCTCTGTTTTTTCCCATCTTTGCGGTTTTATCTACCTTTGGTCTTTGATGATGGTGACGTACAGATGGGGTTTTGGTGTGGATGTCCCTTCTCTTTGTTTGTTTTCCTTCTAACAGTCAGGAACCTCAGTGCAGGTCTGTTGGAGTTTGCTGGAGGTCCACTCCAGACCCTGTTAGCCTGCGTATCAGCAGCAGAGGCTGCAGAACAGTGGATATTGGTGAGCAGCAAATGTTGCTGCCTGATCGTTCCTCTGCAAGTTTTGTCTCAGAGGAGTACCCAGCCATGTGAGGTGTCAGTCTGCCCCTAGTGGGGGGGTGCCTTCCAGTTAGGCTACTCGGGGGTCAGGGACCCACTTGAGGAGGCAGTCTGTCCATTTTCAGATCTCCAGCTGCGTGCTGGGAGAACCACTACTCTTTTAAAAGCTGTCAGACAGGGACTTTTAAGTCTGCAGAGGATTCTGCTGCCTTTTGTTTGGCTATGCCCTGCCCCCAGAGGTGGAGTCCACAAAGGCAGTCAGGCCTCCTTAAGCTGCAGTGGGCTCCACCCAGTTCAAGCTTCCCAGCTGCTTTGTTTACCTACTGAAGCCTAGGCTATGGTGGGCGCTCCTCCCACAGCCTTGCTGCCACCTTGCAGTTTGATCTCAGACTGCTGTGCTAGCAATGAGCGAGGCTCCGTGGATGTAGGACCCTCCGAGCCATGTGCGGGATATAATCTCCTGGTGTGCCATTTGCTAAGACTGTTGGAAAAGCACAGTATTAGGGTGGGAGTGACACAATTTTCCAGGTACCATCTATCACCCCTTTCTTTGACTAGGAAAGGGAATTCTCTGACCCCTTGTGCTTCCCGGGTGAGAGAATGCCTCACCCTGCTTGGGCTCACACTCAGTGCACTGCACCCACTGTCCTGCACCCACTTTCTGACACTCCCCACTGAGATGAACCCAGTACCTCATTTGGAAATGCAGAAATCACCTGTCTTCTGTGTCGCTCATGCTGGGAGCTGTAGACTGGAGCTCTTTCTAGTCAGCCATCTTGGCTCCACCCCCGTTATTATGATGCTTACACAGAGTCCTTTGCTTTCCAGCCACCTCCTCTCCCTCCTTTTTAGGTTGGAATCCCTGTATTTTAGTGGCCACTGGGATTCTGAAATGACCAGGTCTTTGTCTCAGAGACCTCACACATGCTGTTCCCTCTGCCTGGAACATTTTTCCTTGCTCTGGTCCCCTGAGATCTCTTTCAGCTCAACTGCCCCATGCTCAGAGAGCCCCTTTCTCCCTCTCTAGTTTGAAGCCAGTTTACCCCTGTAGTCTGTGCCTGGAAAACTCGTTTTCCTCCTTGGTGCCTCCTGAGTTGTCACAGGATGTATGTGCCTGTTAGGGTGTCTGGTGTCTGTCTCCCCAGCTAGACTGCATGCTCCTGGTGTGCTGGAGGGACTGGACTAGCACAGGCCAAGTCCCTGGGGCTGGAGGGAGCAGGGCAGAAGGCACAGGCAAAAGGCCTTTGTGATCTGGAGGGAAGTGAAGGAGAGGGAGAGAGATGAGAGAGGCTGGCAGAAGATAGGCCAGTGGCCAGGCTGCATGGGATCTTTTGGGCCACAGAAAGACATTTGAATTCTCATGTAAGAGAACCAGGACACCATTGGAGGGTATGAGTCACCTCATCTAACTGAGCTCTGTAAATGTCAATGTTTTATTATTTTTATACAATTCTTTAAAAGTGATTTAAATTATTTACCTTTTTATTTTTATTACTTTTATTTATTTATTTATTTTTGAGACAAAATCTTGTGCTATTGGCCAAACTGGAGTGCAATGGCATGATCTCAGCTCACTTCAACTTCCACCTCCTGGGTTCAAGTGATTCTCCTGTATCAGACTCCCGAGTAGCTGGGGTTATAGGCGTCTGCCACCACGCCCAGCTTATTTTTGTATTTTTAGGAGAGATGACGTTTCACCATGTTGGCCAGGCTGGTCTTGAACTCCTGACCTCAGGTAATCCACCTGCCTCAGCCTCCCAAGGTGCTGGGATTACAGGGGTGAGCCACCATGCCCGGCCTTATTTACTTTTTTAAAAAAGATCAGGCCAAGCACAGTAGCTCATGTCTCTAATCTCAGCACTTTGGGAGGCTGAGGCGGGATGATCACTTGAGGCCAGGAGTTCAAAACCAGCCTAGGCAACATAGTGAGACACCCCCTGCTCCAATCTCTAAAAAAATGAGAAAATTAGGCACAGTGGTTGGTCTGTATCCCCAGTTACTGGAGAGCCTGTAGTAGGCAGGACTGCTTGAGACCAGGAGTTTGAGGCTCCACTGAGCTGTGACTATCCCATTGAGCTACAGCCTGGGCAACAGAGTGAGACCCTGGAGCCGCCTCAGCCTCCCTAGAGCTGACTGAGGTCTGCTTCTTATTCCAGGAATGATGGGTGCTGGGGCTTTGATGGTCATCGGGTGAAATGGGCAGAGTGGTGCTTACCCGGGATGGTGGTGAAGTGGGACGGGGAGGTCATCGTGACAAAGGGCGGCATGAGGTACTTGGCCTTGAGGCTCTCCCCGGCCTGACGGTCCAGTTTGGGGGTGTCCACATCCTGATCCTAGTCCCAGTGGAAGCCCTGGAAGGAGATCAGCAGTAGCTCTGAGTGCTCTTCCTCCCTGGGACAGGGTGGCTACCCAGTAGGACAGGCGGCAGCAGCAGCAGCAGCTGGAGAGCCCCGAGCCCTGTCACCCCACTAGCACCTGTTATGCACTCCTCACAGAGTTCATGGGCTTCTCCCTCTTTAGTCCGTTGTTGAACAAAGTCCACATTAATAATTCTGCCCAGTTCTGTTGTGAGACAAACAACCCGGAGTGTAGCAAGGTGCCGCATATTTGCAGGACAGTATGAAAGCGTTCTGGAGATGGATGGGGGACATGGCTGTACAATGTGGTGGATGCACTTAACACCACTGAATTTTTCCTTTGAAAATGGCTAAAATAATAGATTTTGTATGTATTTTACCACAATAAAAAATTAAACTGGCCGGGCATGGTGGCTTACACCTGTAATCCCAGCACTTTGGGAGGCCGAGGCGGGTAGATCATTTGAGGTCAGGAGTTCGAGACCAGCCTGGCCAACATGGAGAAACCCCATTTCTACTAAAAATGCAAAAATTAACAGGGTGTGGTTGTACATGTCTGTAATCCCAGCTACTTGGGAGGCTGAGGCAGGAGAATTTCTTGAACCCGGGAGGCGGAGGTTGCAGTGAGCCGAGATTGTGCCACTGCACTCCAACCTGGACGATGGAATGAGACTCCGTCTCCAAAAAAAAAAATCAAACCATGTGAAATATTTTGGACTCTTATAATAATACCAACATTTTGAAGATCTGGGGAGAACGAACTAGATTGGCGCTTTCCTTGGCTTGTATGTCCTGTTTTTATAGGGAGAGCAAATTATTGTTCAGCAGCACTATTAAAATAGCTACAACAGGATGGGCATGGTGGCTCACACCTGTAATCCCAGCACTTTGGGAAGCTGAGGTGGGAGGATCGCTTGAGCCCAGGAGTTCAAGATGCCAGCCAGGGCAACATGGTGAGACCCTGTCACTACCAAAAATACAACAACAACAACAAAAATAGCTGGGTGTGGCTGCGTGCACCTGTAGTCCCAGCTACTTGAGAGGCTGAGGTGGGAGGATCACTTGTGCCCAGGAGGTTGAGGCTGCAGTAAGCTGTGATTATGCCAGTGTACTCAGCCTGGGTGACAGAGTGAAACCCTGTCTCAAAAAAAAAAAAAAAAAGCTGCAGTGGACTCAGTGATCATGAGCCAGGCACTGTACACGTATACATCATCTCATTTAATTTTTTCTCTTGTTTAAAATTAGTTTTTCCTCTAATCCCCATGTTGATCAATACTTTCTTAATCCAAGGATTTTATTAGTTGAAAATTTCGCACAAGAATTAAAAATTGCCTGGCGTGATGGCTTACACCTGTTATCCCAGCACTTTGGGAGGCTGAGATGAGAGAATCGCTTGAAGCCAGGAGTTTGGGCTAGTCTGGGCAATATAGTGAGAATGCAACTCTATAAAAAAAATTAGAAACCCTGGGTGTGGTAGCCTTCACCTGTAGTCCCAGCTACTTGGAAGACTAGGTGGGAGGATTGCTTGAGCCCAGGCGGTAAAGGCAGCAGTGAGCTATGATTGTGCCATTGCACTGCAGCCTGGGGGACAGAGTGAGACTCTATCTCTGAAATGAATGAATAAAATTGTGGTATAATATATGCAACATTTACCATTTTGTGCATCTGAAAGTGTACAATTCAGTGACATTTTGTACATTTATCATGATGTGCAATTATCACCACTACCTAGTTTCAGAGCTTTTTCAACACCTCCATTGGAAGCCTCATATCCATATCCATTCAGCAGTCACCCTGCATACCCCCTCCCGCAGCCCCTGGAAACCTCTCCTCTACTTTCTATCCCTGTCAATTGGCTTAGTCTCAACATTGCATATAAATGGAATTGTACAATATATGACCTTTCATGTCTGGTTCTTTCACTGAGCATGTTTTTAACGTTCATCCATATCACAGCATGGATAAGTTTTATTTTCTTTTTAGACCCTATCTAAAAAGAAAACAAAATGGTAAAACAAACAAAAAAAGTATATAGGATGGAGATCAGATGTGTCCTGCAAAGCTGATAATATTTACTATTTAGCACTTTACATAGAAGCTTGCCTACCTCTGAATGTTATGCAGGTACAGGGATGACATTTATCTTGGCACTTATAGAAAGACCTGTAAGTTGTATAAAGATGTCATCATTGGATTTCCAGTAACAAGAAGCGGCAAGACATGACGGTGTGTCCAGGTGTTCAGGTGAAGTTTAGGGAAGGTCTTGTCTCGATGAGGTCGGATGTGAGACCCAGATGAGATAACCCCATTTCCCCTGCTGAAATTGCCTGAGAATTTCATTCCAGTTATTTGCGTGGGTTGATTCTTTCGGTTGGGGGTGGGGTGGGTGAGGAGATGAAGTGTCAGGGGAGTTCTATTGTGTATTTGCACAACTTGGCTTTCTTTTCACTTGGTGTGGTGTTTTGCTGTATGAGGAATTTCATAGACTTTTGTAATGAATATGCAGCTTAGTGGTTTGAGTCCTGCCAGGCGGAGGGTCATATCTCAGCTCTGCAACTCATTATCTATGACGCCTTGGGGCAGGTCCCATAACTCTCTAAGCCTCTGTTCTATATTCCATGGGGTTGTGAGGTTCAGATGAAATAATGCATGCTGGCAGGAATGGTTACTGCTCATGGGATTTCCATGTGCTCCCCGTATTCCCCAGACCCCCAGTAGTTAGATGGATCCATGCCGGGGTCCAATGCTCTATAAGTGGAAGTCACTGACATCACCTCTAGTCTACAGATTTGAGGGCTTGGGAATAACTATCTCATCCTCTCATCTCCTGGTGCAGTAACTATGGGAGAATCCCTGCATTAAGATGGTAGAATTTCCATTATTCTAGGTCTTTGAGTGGCCATATGGAGCACACCATACCCAGCCAACCCATTGTGGACATGGAATGTAAGAAATCAACCTTGGTTGCTAAGCTGCTGAGACTCTGGGGTTAATTTGTTACTGCAGCATAACCTAGTCCATCCTGACACATGCAGCATGCAAGCCACTTACGTTGACCCTTAGCCATGGTAAGTGCTCCACAGATGTTAGTTACTTTTGGTAGGAAGACAGATTGCCTCTGAAAGTTTTGTTAGCTGATCTCATGATGCCAATGTTGCTATTTTCTAATTGGATAAATTGGACTTGGCTCTCCTTCCAGCATGTGGGAGAGACAGATGACTGAGAGACAATAAAGCACTATTATCTTCAGTTTGTGTCCTTGGATACCCTTGGTGGCAATGAACATTGTATGCTCCTCTGAGAAAACTGGACCTAAAGGAGAATGGGAGGTGATACCAGAATTGGGAATGTCCAAGGCCCCAGGTATTCCCTGGTCTGGAGTCCACTTTGAGTCCTTGGTTGGGAAGATTCTCCGAGGGAACATAAATGCTTTTACTATCTAGTTTGTCTCTTTGATAATTAAAACTCTTTTTTTTTCATTCCAGTAGCTTTTGGGGTAGAGTTTGGCTCTTTGAGAATTGCATACTAATTAATTTTAGGGGTCATCCATACACATCTCTATATTCCTGAAACACAGTAGAAACAGCCAGCAGTCAGGCAACCATCTACTGTGACCACTAAAACATCCCCAAAGTGAAACACCAGATGTGATCTGCTAGGTTTAGTGGAGGTGGCTGGCTCGAGAGTTGATTATATTCATTATCGTCACTGTGGTGATTATGGCCACAACATTGTGATGCATCTTGTTCTTCTTCTGGTGAGTTGCAGTTTGGAAGGAATAAATCCATTATTCTTTTTTCTTTCTTTTTATTTTTTCTTTTGAGTCTTGCTCTGTCACCCAGGCTGGAGTGCAGTGGTGCCATGTCAGCGTACTGTAAACTCTGCCTCCCAGGTTCAAGTGCTTCTCCTGCCTCAGCCTCCCAAGTAGCTGGGATTACAGGCGCCCACCACAACACCTGGCTAATTTTTATATTTTTAGTAGAGACGGGGTTTCGCCATGTTGGCCATTCTGGTCTTGAACTCCTGACCTCAGGTGATCCACCTGCCTCAGCCTCCCAAAGTGCTGGGATTACAGGTGTGAACCACCACGCCTGGCCCCATTATTCATTTAACCAATATCTATTAGCACGTTGGGTATAGTGGAGGATGAACTGCAGGGGAGGGAGGAAGCCTCCTCCTGCCACTATGTTTTCAAGTTGTGCTAATACTCCACCATGGGACATGCAGGCTTGTGGGTCTCAGAGCTCCAGAAGCATCTCCCAACCACACCATCCTGACCCAGGTTCTACTGAAAAATACATGATTCTAGCAGAGCCATCTCTGACACTTCCCTTCTTTTGAATGGCTGATCTGTCAGTCATGGGGATCCCTTATGAAAGTGCAGTGTGCTTTGTGAAACTTGAGGTTGATCAAAGAATACCATTAAACTTTGTTAAGAAATGTACATATTGATGACATACGCAGTGGGGTGGAGGTGGGGAAATTCCCAAATACATTTTAGAAATTATCTCACAAGGAGGTAATAGTCAGAATCTTGGTTGCCAGTGACAGAAACTCATCCTACTAGTGTGGAGTGGAAAAGGGATCATGTTTTGGTCTGCACTCCCCAACCCCAACCCCAAGCAGATGCTGAAAGAGGGACAGGATTGCAAGTGGATTATTTAGGAGATGATTCCAGGGAACACCAATAGGGGAGTGAGGAACTGATTCATGAAAAGGCAGGAGGCCACACAGGGGGCTTCAGTGAGAAGCTTACCACTCCAGGCAACTAGGATTTGACCCCACTGGGGACCTCTGGGAGGTGATGTGGAACACATTTCGAAGTTGTTCCATCTAGGGGACGAAGATACTGAAGCATTTATAGCCTGGTTCCCATCCGTCACTGGCTGAGGACTGGTCCCAGGGCATCAACTCTCTGGCTTTTTTTTCTTTCATTTTTTTTTTTTTTTTTTTTTTGAGACATAGTCTTGCTCTGTCATCCAGGCTGGACTGCAATGGCATGATCTCGGCTCACTGCAATATCTGCCTCCCAGGTTCAAACGATGCTCTTGCCTCAGCTTCCTGAGTAGCTGGGATTACAGGCGCCTGCCACCATGCCCTGCTAATTTTTTTATTTTTTTGTAGAGACGGGGTTTTGTCATGTTGGTGAGGCTGGTCTTGAACTCCTGACCTCGTGATCCACCTGCCTTGGCCTCCTAGTGTTGGGATTATGGGCGTGAATCACTGCACCCGGCTTCTGTGGCTTTTCTGACATATTCCATGCCTGACTTTGAAAAAACTCTCAGGTGAAAGTCTTGGTTGTATGCAGTAGCAAGCATGTACTAGATTGATAAATACAAAGGGGCTTACCACAAGATCTCTCTCTCCATCTCTGGATGGAGACACCATCAGATCTCTCTCTCCATCTCTGTCTCTAGGTTTGTCTGCATACTAGCTTAATTTCTTCTTACTCAAGCCTTTTCTCCATAAGGCGAGATATGTGGTCACAAAAGCTCCTGTATTTCTCATTACACACAGTTCCTGTCATCACAGAGAATGATTAACTTGGCCTGGTTCCAGTTTGGAAAAATATTCAAGGGAAGAATTCTGATTGGCCAATTTAGGCCAGATGTTCATCCCTGAGCCAATCAACTGAGGCCAGAGGGGTGGAGTCATGTGAGAACATGGCAGCCCCCATGAGAGGCACGTGACTGGAGTAGGAAGTGTGAGTCTCCATAGAGGGGAGAGGGCTGCTAGGCTGAAAAGGCAAAAGATGTCTGCAGTAAAAGGAATAGATTAGGAGATATATTCTGTTAAACCTGTTAATTATTAAAAAAAGAAACTTTCAATATACAGTTACAGTATACGTGAGCCGGTGGCTCACGCCTATAATCCCAGCACTTTGGGAGGCCGAGGTGGGCAGATCAGAGGTCAGGAGTTCGAGACCAACCTGACCAACATGGTGAAACCCCGTCTTGCGCACCTGTAATCCCAGCTACTCAGGAGGCTGAGGCAGGAGAATCACTTGAACCCGGGAGGTGGAGGTTGCAGTGAGCTGAGATCATGCCACTGCACTCCAGCCTGGGCAACAGAGTGAGATTCCCTCTCAAAAAAAAACAAAAAGTTACATTGTGGTTCCTTCAGCATGATTTATCAGAAAGGAAAAACTTACCATATGCATATTTCCTATGCATAGGCTACTGCTATGAATTCAAATTCTTTTTTTTTTCTTTTTTTTTTTTTTTTACTATACTTTAAGTTTTAGGGTACATGTGCACATTGTGCAGGTTAGTTACATATAAATTCTTAAGTTCCAAAGATTAATTACTATGTTTCTCAAGACACATAAACTGTGTTAGAATCTGCTTATAATAAGGCTGAAGTTGAGTAAGAAGAGAACTGGCATTTAGTACACTACTTTTCTTCTGTCGAGTACTGTCAAGTTTAAGTTCTGCCTGGAAGTAGATGCACCTCAAGGGAGGGGTACATGTAAAGGTGTGTGTGTGTGTGTGTGTGTGTGTGTGTGTGTGTGTGTGTGTGTGGTAGTTTCCAAAGATGGGTACAATTTTCTGCAAACGCTCGTGTAGTGTAATTGAACCAATCTTTCCTTTAAGACGTAGAGTTTATATTCCTCTACATGAATCTGGGCTGCCTATGACTTGCTTTGGCCAGTGGAATGCTGCCAAAGTGATGGTGACCAACTTCTAGCCGTGAAAGGAAAATAAACCTTGGGGACCCAAGATCACTAAGCTAGGCCGGGCTCGGTGGCTCACGCCTGTAATCCCAGCACTTTGGGAAGCTGAGGCAGGCGGATCACCTGAGGTCAGGAGTTCCCAGCACTTTGGGAAGCTGAGGCGGGCAGATCACCGGTCAGGAGCTCAAGACCAGCCTGGCCAACATGATGAAACCCCGTCTCTACTAAAAAATATGAAAATTAGCCAGGTGTGGTGGCAGGCGCCTGTAATCCCAGCTACTCGGGAGGCTGAGGCAGGGAAAATTGCTTGAACCCTGGAGTTGGAGGTTGCAGTGAGCCGAGATCACACCACTGCACTTCCGCCTGGGCAATAGAGTGAGACTCTGTCCCCCCCCAACAAAAAAAAAAGTTACTAAGCTGAAGAGAAATGTCAAGCTGGGAACTGCTTAGGGCAAACCTGCCTCCCATTCTATTCAAAGTCACCCCTTTGCTCACTGAGATAAATGTATATCTGATTGCCTCATTTGGAGAGTCTAATCAAGAACTCAAAAGAATGCAACCATTTGTCTCTTAACTACCTATGACCTGGAAGCCCCCTCCCCACTTCGAGTTGTCTCACCTTCACCTTCACCTGGAGTTGTCCTGCCTTTCCAGACTGGACCAATGTACATCTTGCACATATTGATTGATGTCTTATGTCTCTCTAAAATGTACGAAACCAAGCTGTGTCCCTACCACCTTAGGTACATGTTGTCAGGACCTCCTGAGGCTGTATCACAGGGGTGCATTCTCAACCTTGGCAAAATAAACTTTCTGAATTAACTGAGACCTCAGATTTTTGGGATGCATATAGTCTTAGGCCTTGAGGGCCCTCTCGTAGTTTCCATATTTTTGCCCTCTTGGATGCTGGCACCAAGCAAACCTTGGCTATCCTGCTTAAAGGGTCATTTGGAGAGGGGCTCTGGAGGGCGAGGGGCCACATGGAGGAAAAGAAGGTTCCCCGGCTGACAGCCAGCACCAACTGCCAGGAACATGCGTGAGGCTGTCCTGGATGTTCCGCCCATCTGGCCCTCCAGCTGCAGGTAGCCACACAAATGAGCCCAGGTTAAGCCAGACAGGAAGTCCCCATGCAACTCACAGGGTCATGAGCAATAATGACTTATGGTGGTTTAAAGTTTCTAATTTTAGGGTGCAATAGGTAACTGAAATAGCCCACAAGGGTGTGAGCCTGTGGAGGGTGCATTTCCCACTTGAGGAAACTTCTCAATTCCCAGGATCCAATCCAGATAAGACTCTTGTTCTCAGTGTCCTTGATGGAAATGGCAATGAAATTTTTGCAGATTGGACCATCTCAGGGGAATCCCAAAGATCGGAAACTATTTTCTTTCTTAGAAACTTCCACACAGCATTGAGCCTTAGGAATTTCTAAGAAGGATCTGAAATGAAAAAAAAATCTTTTGAAAGGTATTTGTATAGCTTCACTTCAGCAAGATTCATGGTGGGTGTTAAACTAAGTGCTGGTGTTAAGCCAAACCATGTTTTTCAAAGACTCATCTGGCCTTAAGGTTGGCAGGATCAGAGTGGCCTCCCAGGATCTAACACATCCTCAGAAGAGTTGGTTCAACAGGCATGTACCCAGATCTCTTTGAGCTAGTATAATACTCCCTTGAGTCAAAGGCTGCCACATCACATCTCCTTTAAGTCCCCCTAAGTACGACCCCAGAAGCATTGATAAAGTGTGCTATTACTGAAGATTTCAGGAGGACATAAATGAAGAGATTAAACTGCAAGATACCAAAACTTCCATCTTTGCTAAAGACCCTCATCCAGCCTGGGTGCTGTGGCTCATGCCTGTAATCCCAGCACTTTGGGAGGCTAAGGCGGGGGGATCACCTTAGGTCGGGAGTTCAAGACCAGCTTGATCAACATGGAGAAACCCTGTCTCTACTAAAAATACAAAATTAGCCAGGTGTGGTGGCACATGCCTGTAATCCCAGCTACTAGGGAGGCTGAGGCAGGAGAATCACTTGAACCTGGGAGGTGTAGGTTGCGGTGAGCTGAGATCATGCCATTGCACTCCAGCCTGGGCAACAAGAGCAAAACTCCATCTCAAAAACAAACAAAAAAACCCTTATCCAATGGTCATGCCACTCTATCTCTCCATGTAATTTCTCCTCCTGGCTGTCTGTAGCAACAGCCTTCTGAGGAACCTCACTCTGCCTTTCAAAATCCCTTCAAATTGTACCCTTCATCAGCAAAGTATTTAGCTCAACATGTATGCCTCTGGGGGAACTCATCCACATGCCATTTAAGGATATTTCCAGCAACATCATCTTCACTACCCCAGGACAGCATTTTAGAGTGGATTACGTGCCTGCTGGATGTGTTGTTCTTGAGAGAGTTAGAGAAAACGCTACAGTTTGAGATGAATTAAGAGTCTGTTTATTTAGCCGGCGGCTAAGGAACGGCTAACGTTTAAAGTTCTCTCGGCTTCGAAGAAGGGGCTAAGATTTTCTTTTATACTTTGGTTTAGAAAGGGGAGGGGGGTCTAGTTAAAACAATTTTACATAAGTAAAGTAGGCAAAAAAGTTAAAAGGATAAATTGTTACAGGAAAGTAAACAGTTCTAGGTCTAGGGCCTTTAAGACTATTATAAGGTGATAGACACGGGACTTTGGGCGTTATCAATAGGATGAATTCCTGGGAACTGCGGTTATTGCTCACCACAGTATCTTATCAGTTAATTGCATTCTTCGATGTGCTGGGAGTCAGCTTGCACAAGTTAAGTCCTTGAGGAAGGGGCTGCCAGTGAAAGAGCCAAGAAATGGAGTCTGTCTGGCTCTCTTAGCTAAGGGAGAGTCAATTCAGGTGGAAACAAGGCTAGGTCACTAAAAGAAAGGGAGAGTCTAAGAACACGGTTAGTAAAAACAAGGTTAGGCATTACATTCCTCACTTGTGTTTTTGGGGAATCAAATCATTGATTCTTCAGTTATAAAAAGGGGGTTATATTGAGTCTTAAGATACATAAGTTTGACAGAAGCTATGCGTTGTTCTACAAACTTAAGGAACTAATTTAATATACAAGGCCCAAAAATTAGACTTATTAGTAGGATGGGGAGGGGGTCTGGCTAATTTAGTAATTAGAGTGGTTAGCTATGGGTTCTAGTTGAACATGTTTTGATACTAGGGGATGTTATTTTCTTGTTCTTGTTGGCGCTTGTCTAGATTTTCTTGCACTTTTTGGAGTGTATCTTTTATGACTAAGAATGGTGGAGGAACTATTAAATCAACTTTGTCAGGGTGTTTCTGGAACATAGGGTTACTTAGATCAGTTAAAGGTCTGATTGGCTTGGGTGGGCTTCATGAGACTAGGGTTTTTTTGGATGGTGAACATAGACTTAACATTAAATCCTGGGATATAAAATCTTAATCTTCATGCCATGCCATGATACTATTGAGTTGAATTGAGGTCATGGACAGTTATAATAAGAGGATTACAATTTTTTCTAGTACATAATTTAGGATGAGAAGCATGACTTATGGAAAGAGTTGAAGATCTGGTTGATCTTTTAGAGTAGGTGGCTAAAGTTACACATGTCTAATCAGGGCAGAAAAACTGATAAGCATCTTGACAGCTAGCATCAGGGTGATTTCTAGGACAGAGGTAAAAGTCAATATTTTGGAGTCTTTTTTCTGCACTTTTGGAGCTTCTTCATTTAGTTTGGCTCTTGGAATGTCTGAATCTTGCTGCAAGGTCGACACTTCCTGCCCCTGGGACTGGAAGATTGTGTTGCTTTTCGTGGGTATGGGCTGGCTTTGGGAAAAGTACAAATAAATCAACTGCGAAGGAGACTTCCTTGGAGGTACTGGCCTTCTAAGTGGTGTTTGCAAATACACGTCCTGTTGTGAAAGAGGTGAGGAGAAAGGAGTAGGAAGGCACAGAGGACATAAAGCGCAAAAACAAATAAGTGAGGTAGATAAAAAGAATTAATCTAATGGCTTCACCTGACTTAGGTGCAGTTTTAAGGGGTCTGACTTAGGCCTGGAGACTTATGTTTTTAGCTGGGCTCTGTTGGCTTTTTTGATGCGGGGGTGATGAATCTAAGCAGGAATGCCGTCTACTTTCAGAGCAGTTGGAGTCGTGAGGATGACGGTGTGAGGTCTTTTCTAAGCAGGAGTGAGTCTTTCTTTTTGGAACTTTTTAACAAACACTAGGTCTCCTGGCTGGAATGAATGGCAGGAGTGCACCTTACTTTAAGTAGGGCTAAAGGAAGGAGACTTACTTAATTTACACTGGTTTTTAAGATTTTGTAAGAGTGTTTTTTAGGGTGTGGTTCACGCGTTCTACTTGCCTGGAGCTCTGGGGTTGATAGGCACAATGGAGCTTCTATTGAATGTTTAACGCCTTACTGACTGACTGAGCTATAGGCGAGGTGAAGGCTGGTCTATTATCAGACTTTATGGCAGCAGGCAACCTATATTGAGGGATGATTTCATTGCATAAAAACTTAACTACTGTGTTGGTGGTTTCGTTTTCGGTAGCAAATGCCTTAGTCTATCTGGAGAAGGTGTCTACTCGTACTAGAAGGTATTTGTACTTAGCCTGGTGTGGTTTTACTTCTGTAAAGTCAATTTCTTACTTTTTTCTTGGCGAGTTTTTTCAGAGACAGTGGCCAGGGCTGGGTTTAGGACTCTGTTTGGCATTTACATGAGCGCAGGTTGTGCACTGGAGAGCTGCTTAATCTGTTAGGCTTTGAAGACGGGGGATCTTAAAATGGCTCCGGAGGAGCTGAGGTAGCTTTGCTCTTTTTAAGTGGGTGGTAGACTGTAGGTGACTGATTAAAGTTTCTTTAATAGTTCAGGATATGAAGAGTCTAGAGTCAGGAAGAATCTACTAACTTTCCTGATTTTTATTGGCTCTGAGATCTGAAGCCAGTTTTTTGTTGTTGTTGAGTATATGGGATTGTCAGGCAGATCTGGCTGTGGAAAGGAGACTGTGGGCAGCAAGTTTAGAGGCGTGACTGAAAGTGGCGCTGTGACCTTAGCTGCTGAATCAGCTTTCTGGTTACTATGGGCAACAGCCTTGTTTTCTTTTTGATGTCCTTTGCAGTGGATCACAGCTACCTGCTGAGGTGAGTAGCCTGCTTTCCTGGTAGATGGCTTTATGTACATGCACAGTAGCAAAGGCGTACTTGCTGCCAGTGTAAATGTTAATACGTTTATTCTTAGTTTATCGGAGAGCCTGAGTGAGGGCGATCAATTCAGCCTTTTGTGCTGAGGTGTTCGCTGGTAAAGCTTGAGCTTACAACACGTCTGTCTTCATGGTAACAGCTGCACTGGCTTTTCCTACTTCCTGCTTGAGGAAGCGGCTACTGTCTGTGAACACGGCGGCATCTGCCTTTTCCAGGGGCACATCTTGAAGATCAGATCGGCCAGTTTCGATAGTTTCTAACAGTTCTTGACAGTCATGAGCAGGAATAGTGCACTCTGAGTCAGGAAGTAGTGTAGCTGGATTGAAACACTTTGTGGGATAGAAAGTCAAACGAGGCTGATCTAACAGTAAACTTCGATACTGCAAGATGCGAGCATTTGACATCTATTTGCCAGAAGCACTTCGTAGTAAGGTCTTTACAGCACGAGGAGCTGTAAGGGTTAAATTTTGGCTTAGAGTAAACTTATCTTCTTGGGCTAGGCTTGCTGTAGCCTCTACAGCTCACAGACAACTTGGCCATCTAGAGGCCACAGGATGTAGCCTCTTAGATAAATAGGCCACTGGGTGTCTTTAGGGTCTTAAAGCCTGAGTAAGCACCTCTTTAGCAACTCCTTGGCTTTTATGGAGATATTAGGGAGGGCTAAAGCAGGGGCTTCAGTTAATGCTAAATTAATGGGCTATTTTATTCTGCACTTCTTGGATAGCCGCCACTAAGATTTTTGTTTGTCTTTTGAATGCTTTATCAGCGGCCTTTTCAGCTGCCTGTGTTGCTTGTTTTTGTTTTTTAGCCTTTTGATGGTCAAAAGCTTTTTGGGCTATTTGTAAAAGCTGACTGATATTTATTCTAGCAAATCTTTCTAGTTTTTGGAGTTTCTTTTTAATATCCGGGGCTGCCTGAGCCACAAATGCTAAATTAAAAGCACGGCTATTTTCCGGAGCTGCCGGGTCAAAAGGGGTGTAAATCCAATAAGCCTCCTGGAGACGCTCTAAAAACTTTCTTGGTGACTTATCGGGCCTTTGGACAACTTCAGTGATCTTAGACAAGTTTATGGGTTTCTGAGCGGCTCTTTTAATACTTGCGAGGAGATAGCGGTGAAAATCGCCTAAAGCTCTCCTTCTACTTGAGGAATTTGGGTCCCAGTTAGGCCAGGTAGAGGGAAAGACCTCTTCAAGGAGGTCTCTAGTGTCTTCTTCCGGTCTATTGGCTGATGTGAGGAATTATTTTTGGCTTCTTTTCGGATACGTTCGTTTTTTTCAGAGGTGAAAAGGGTTAAAAGGAGCTGTTGGCAATCATCTTAGGTGGTCAGGTGAGTCCAGAGTACGGACTCTATTAGAGAGGTCAAAGCCTGGGGCTTCTCAGAGAAGGGAGGATTATGGGTTTTCTAATTATATAAGTCAGAAGTAGAAAAAGGGACATAAACTAAGAAGGGGGCTGAGCGCTCATTACCTGGAGGGACTTGTGCCTCTCTCAGTGGTAGTAGAGGGGCTACTTCTTCCTGCCACGGTCGCGATTGAGAGGCAATGGGTGGCGAGCCTACAGGGGACGTCGTCGAGGAGACATGGGATAACTTTAAGGGAGCAGGCTGGTTGTAAGGCGGTGGGACTGGGTGAGGGAGACTCTCCTCTTCTTCAGAGGGAGGCAGTACAGGGGAAGCCGAACCGGCTGAGGGTCGAGGTGAAAACGCGGTCTGGCTTAGGAGGACCTTGGAGGTAGAATTCTGAATGGCGCATGAGCGGAGCTATGGAGGGGCTCCTGACTAAACTTAGCTATTGATCAAGGTAGGGAAACTGATCAGGGTGGCTAGGAGTTTCAGTAAGAACCTGCCACACAGTTTGAACAATTGTGAGGTTCAACGACCCTTCAGGGGGCCACTTGACTTTAAACTTTGGCCATTTTATTTTGCACAGTGTCTGGAGTTTGCCTTTTTTAAGGCGGACTTTATAATCCTCTGAGAAACTGAGAGGAAAATTCTGCAGCACACATTGGAGAGGGCTTTAACTTTTACAAGGCTGGGAGGAAGTGTTTCTTATTTTTTTTTGAAGGCAATTTAATAAGATTTGAGCATAAATATTAAACTTAGCATGGACAGAGAAACTTATTTCTTAGGGGACTGGAGTATTGAAAGAACAGAATCAACATGACTAGAAAGAGCAGAAAAACTACAACAGCTAATGCTACTTGCTACATTACTGTAGCTTTAAGATTGAGGGAGGAGGACTAGAGCCAGCCTGAGATCTTCTGGGTCAGTTTGATCTAGGCGTTCTTCTTCTTCTAGATCTGTACTTTAAATACTTTTGGTGTCTTTATGACTTAAAGGCAAATAGCTTAAACTTAGCTTTTTCTTTTAAGGGTTTAAGGAGTGAGAGCAGAGTCAAGTCATGGAGATGCTGAACTTGCTGTCACACCAGAAAATGAGACGTGCAGGGTAGAGGGCAGGGACGATGCAAAAAGGACTACTCAGATCATTTTTAAGATGGGAGAGTAGCCACAGAGGAACAGAGTAAGAATCTCAACGAAGTAAAGTAGTACGGGCATACGTTCTACTTCAGGGCACAGGAAAAGTTACAGAATGACAAAAGAAGTGAGCAAGGAAATCTGCATGGTGGCTGTTTTGAATTTACTACTGGTTTAGTTTAGAGGAGGTCTAATCACTTGGACGTGGGGTATGACAATCCAAATACTTACAACTTTCATGGTGCTAGAAATCTTAATCAGGCAAATGTTTTTCACACTTGTTCTTGTAACAACACTTGACTTGCTTCTGGCAGAAAAGACAGGACTGTGGTGGCCAGCCTAAATGATTGATAAGAAATTTAACCTCCTGTGACAAAAAATCAGCACTAAGGACTTTGAAGAAGTTTTTACTTAGATGTCTTGGGCAATATCAACGTCTTGACATGCAAAACTTTGACAACTACTAAACAAGAAAATAGACACTGAACAGAACAATCAACATAAACAATTGACTTTAGGGCATGTAAACAGTTATGACAGTTTCTTCCTTTTTTTTTTTTTTTTAGACAGACAAGGGGAGGGGGTCCTGTGATGAGATCAGTCAGATGCCTGCCTGGCCGCTCCCCCTGAGGGAACTTGGGCTCCTCTTAGCATTGGCAGGCCGGTATAAACTTCCGGCTCAGATCGAGATATGCCTGATGCTGCCTTAAGCCTTATGAGGTCGCCACGGAACCGCAGGTGAGGGCCCACTTGAACTCCGTAGCTTTCACCGTGGAGCTATAAACTGGAGGACAAGCGCAAGCCCTTGTCCTCCCTCATTCATTCATTATTCACACAGAGTTTATAACAGTTTTTTTTTTCTTTCTTTCTTGGAGATTCTTCAAGAAACTTGAACAAGAGAAAGATGAGAGATAGAAAGAGAGAGAGAGAGAGAGAGAGAGAGAGAGAGTGACCGGTCTGCCAGAAACCAGGACTCAGTCCTCCAGCATCCTGGGATGTGGACTGAGTCAAGGGAGGGCCCCTGTCAGGGCCACTTCCCTCCTAGACAGAGACACAGACGTGCCTAACAGAAAACCAGGGCTCTACCTTCTAGCATCCTAGGGAAATGGGCAGAGTCAAAAGAGGGACGTCGTCATCAGGGCCGCTTCCCTCTTACTAGAACTGAAGTCAAATCTGACCTACCTGACCTCGGGGTCACAAGTTGAGGACTCAGAGGTGGAATTTTTGTGGGCACCCACACGGTAGTCGATCTGCTCTCCTCCGGAAGACGGTCACCTTTCGGGGACCTGAAAATTTTTTTTCAGGTGGCGCCCCCATTACAAGCCGGCCGTCCTTCCGGGGGGGCCCGGAGCAAGCCCGGCTCTCGCCTGGTGGCGTTTCTCACTAGGGCCTCCAAATGTTGTACTTGAGCGAGTTAGAGAAAATGCCACAATTTGAGACGAATTATGAGTCTTTATTTAGCCGGTGGCCAAGATACGGCTAATGCTTAAAGTTCTCTCAGCCCCGAAGAAGGGGCTAGATTTTCTTTTATACTTTAGTTTAGAAAGGGGAAAGGGGTCTAGTTAAAACAATTTTACAGAAGTAGGCAAAGAAGTTAAAAGGATAAATTGTTACAGGAAAGTAAACAGTTCTAGGTCTAAGGGCTTTAAGACTATTACAAAGTGATAGACACGGGGCTTTAGGCATTATCAATCAGACGAATTCCTAGGAACTGTGGATATTGCTCGCCCCACAGTATCTTATCAGTTAATTGCATTCTTAGATGTGCTAAGAGTCAGCTTGCACAAGTTAAGTCCTTGAGGAAGGGGCTGCCAGTGAAAAAGCCAAGATAAAGTCTGTCTAGCTCTCTTAGCTAAAAGAAAGTCAATTCAGGTAGAAACAAGGCTAAGTGATTAAAAGAAAAGGAACGTCTACGAACAAAGTTAATAAAAACAAGGTTAGGCTTTACAGATGGGGTCATCCTTATATTCAGCACAGTGTTTGTTCTGAAACTTCAATGGAGTGTTCCTAGTTTGATAACTTGGGCCATGCCAAATAAATTGAATTTCTCTTTCTTAACAACAGATGTTTGAATACAGCCCCGTGTCCCTCTCTGCTCCTTCCTGCCTTCCTCCTCTCCTCTTCCTTCCCTTCCTTTTCAAGAGCAGGCTTTGTAAAATTTCTTGAAAGCATCAGATAGTAAATATTTTAGAATTCATGGGCCATACAGTCTCTTGTAGTAGTTACTCAACTCTGCCACCCATAGCATGAAAGCAGCTGATATAGGGTGAATATGTCTCCCCGCCGAAATCTCATGTTGCAATGTAATCCCCAGTGTTAGAGGTGGGGCCTGGTGGGGACAGATTGGATCATGGGGGTGGATTTCTCATGAATGATTTAGCATCATCCCTTTCGTCCTGTCCTTGCAATAGTGAGTGAGATCTTGCAAGATCTGGTTGTTTACGAGTGCGTAGCACCTCCCTCCTCACTCTCTTGTTCCCACTTCACCTTCTGCCATGATTGTAAGTTTCCTGAGGCCTCCACAGAAGCTCAGCAGATGTCAGTGTCATGCTCCCTGTACAGCCTACAAAACTGTGAGCAAATTAAGCCTCTTTTCTTTGTACATTACCCAGTCTCAGGTATTTCCTTATAGCATGAGAGAACAGCCTAATCCAGCAGCCATAGACAATATGTAGCAAATGGGCATGGCTGTGTTTCAATAAAACTTTATTGACAAAAACTTGTGCAGCAGGTCAGATTTGACCCATGGGCCATAGTATCCCATCCCCTGCTCTGGAATATTCTCTTCAGCCTGGATGGACATTTCTAGGTTTTTGTTTTTGTTTTTTTGTTTTTTTTTTTTTGAGACAAAGTCTCACTGTTGCCCAGGCTGGAGTGCAGTGGTGCAATCTTTGCCCACTGCAACCTCTGCCTCCTGGGTTCAAGCAATTCTCCTGCCTCAGCCTCCCAAGTAGCTGGGATTACAGGCACCTGCCACCACACCTGGCTAATTTTTGTATTTTTTAATAGAAATCGGGTTTTACCATGTTGGCCAGGCTGGTCTCAAACTCCTGACATCAGGTGATCCA
The DNA here is from genome assembly GCF_000001405.40 of Homo sapiens. Classification (NCBI taxonomy): domain Eukaryota; kingdom Metazoa; phylum Chordata; class Mammalia; order Primates; family Hominidae; genus Homo; species Homo sapiens. The sequence continues at coordinate 155,234 of NW_021159989.1, forward strand.
CCCACCTCAGCCTCCCAAAATGCTGAGATTACAGGCGCCCACCATCACACCTGGCTAATTTTTGTATGTTTAGTAGAGATGTGATTTCACTATGTTGCCCAGGCTAGTCTCGAACTCCTGATCTCAAGTGATCCACCTGCCTTGGCCTCCCAAAGTGCTGGGATTACAGGTGTAAGCCACTGCAGCTGCCCTCTAGATTTTTTTTTTTTTTTTTGACCATGGCTTATTTGGTTTGACTTTCATTTTCTTCCCCATTGTGGTAGCCATTTTCTGAATGCCTGTTAGTTTGTCCATCTCTCTCCTCTGTAGTCCCTAGAGTCAGATGAACTCCTCTGCAGGTGCAATGGTGTAACACTCTCTAGTGCTGAATTTTGAGCAGGAGAAAGAGAGCAAGAGTGACAAGCACTCTTGGAAACTCTGGCCTCCTGAGAATTTGGTGTCTTCTCTGCAAAGGCTGCAAACCTGTTACCCCACAGGCCAGAGAGAGAGAGAAGCCAAAAGCATGATCTGTTAAGCTTGAGTTTAATATTTGATGCACAGAGATCACTGTGTTTTTTGATGAGAATTAGAGGGGGAGACACGGCCACAGAGAACAATTTCTATCCCCACGTGATGACTTAGGAGATAATTCTGTGAACAGAACTTCCTGAGAACTGAGATGGGGGAAAATCGCTAGTGTTAGAAGGGTGAAAACGTCACTAATTAAGGCTATGACTATGTCTGAGAGGCGAAAGAAGAAAATGAGACTGCCAGGCATGAAAAATGAGAAATCTTTGATGGAATTAGCCATGCAGAGCAAATCTAAATGCATCCTCATTCCCCTCATAGTCAAAAGTTTTTGCTTAAGCTGGATGGGAAAAAGAGAATCCCATTTCACTAAGTATAAAAGAGGGGATTTTAGAGAAGGTCTCAGAAGAAAGAGATGTGGGGGTTTGGTGAAACTCACCAGAGGCTGAACCCTCTCCAGCATAACACAGGGATTGGGAGGAGTGGGGTAGCATTAGGCCAGGTGCATGGCCCAGTGCTGCTCTCTCTGGACTTTCTGCTCTCTCTGGACCTGTTTGCTAGCTGAGCTCATCCATTTGCATAATTTTCAGTGCCATTTCTCAGCTGATGAGTCCTGAACTTTTGTCTTGAGGCTAGACTTCTCCTTCAAACAGCAGTCTTAAACACTCAACTTCTTTCTTGTTTTTTCCACTTGTCAACCCATGAACACCTCAATCTTGTTACATCCAAAGCCAAACTCATGGCTTGGAGTGGTAAGTGATGGCTGTAATCCCAGTGCTATGAGAGGCCGAGGTGGGAGGATTACTTGAGGCCAGGAGTTTGAAGCCAGCCTGGAAAACACAGTGAGACTCCCTGTCTACCAAAAAAAAAAAAAAAAAAAAAAAATTAGCTAGGCATGGTGAAGTGCATCTGTAGGATCTGTAATCCTGCTGCTTGGGAGGCTGAGGCAGGAGGATTGCTTGAGCCCAGGAGTTTGAGGCTGCAAAGAGCTATGATCACACCAATGCACTCCAGCCTGGGTGACAGAGCCAGAGACCCTGTCTTAAAAAAAACCCAAAGCCAAACTCTCTTTTTCCTCCTTCTCCATGGGCTCTGTCTGTGCCATCTCTGTTCTGTAAATGGCACCACCCCCTACTGGGCTGCTCAAGGTGGTCATAACTCACGTGTTGTGCTAACTCTGCTTTTGCCCTCTTCTCCAGTCAGCAAGTCCCATGATTCTAAACTTTATCCAACTTGTCCACTCTCTCTATCTTCACTGTCGTTATCTTTGCCTAGGGCACTGCTATCCCAGCTGGGCTACAGCAGCAGCCTCCTAACTGGTCTTAACTGGTCCTCTGCACCTGATCTTGATGCTCAGCAATCCATTTCCCACCTGGCAGCTTCAGTGATCTTGAGGTGTCCATTGAGTCTCATCCCTGCCTTTCCTGCCCATGGCACATAGAATAAAATCAAGAGCCTGAGTCTTCTTCCTGTTCCTGCCACCTCTCCAGCCCTCTCCTATCTCCTCCCCTTGGCCTACTCTATTTCAGCCACTCTGGCTTCCTTTTGTTTTGTTGGACTTTCAAACCTTTTTCCACAACAGGGCCTTTGCACTTGCTGCTTCAGTCTGGAATGATTTTCCTCTGCACCTCCCCAAATTAGACCATCCTTTAGGTCTCAGCTAAAATGGTGCTTCCAACAGAGAGCTCTTTCCTGACCCCTTTATAAAGTGGACTTCCCTGCTCTTCTCCACCTTAGCCTCCTATTATTTCTTGTTGTGGGAAGTCAGGGACCCCAAATGGAGGGACTGGCTGGAGCTGCAGCAGAGGAACATAAATTGTGAAGATTTCATGGACATTTATCAGTTCCCAAATAATACTTTTATAATTTCTTATGCCTGTCTTTAATCTCTTAATCCTGTTATATTCATAAGCTAAGGATGTACATCACCTCAGGACCACTGTGATAATTGTGTTAACTGTACCAATTGATTTTAAAACATGTGTGTTTCAACAATATGAAATCAGTGCACCTTGAAAAAGAAGAGAATAACAGCGATTTTTAGGGAACAAGGGAAGATAACCATAAGGTCTGACTGCCTGCAGGGTCGGGCAAAAAGAACCATATGTTTCTTCTTGCAGACAGTCTATAAACGGATGTGCAAGTAGGAGAGATATCACTAAATTCTTTTCCTAGCAAGGAATATTAATACCCTGGGAAAGGAATGCACTCCTGGGGGGAGGTCTATAAATGGCCGCTTTGGGAATGTCTGTCTTATGCGGTTGAGATAAGGACTGAGATAGGCCCTGGTCTCATGCAGTACCCAAAGGCTTACTAGGGTGGAGAAAAACTCCGCCCTGGTAAATCTGTGGTCAGACTGGTTCTCTTGTTTTCTGTTGTTTAAGATGTTTATCAAGACAATACATGCGCCAATGAACATAGACCCTTATCAGTGGTTCTGCTTTTGACCTTTGCTTTGTGATCATTGCTGGACCCTTATCAGTAGTTCTGCTTTTACCCTTTGCCCTGTTCCCTCAGAAGCATGTGATCTTTGTTAGACCCTTAGTAGTAATTCTGCTCTTTGCCCTTTGAAGCATGTGATCTTTGTACCTACTTCCTGTTCTTACACCCCCTCCCCTTTTGAAACCCTTAATTAAGAACTTGCTGGTCTGAGACTCAGGGGGCATCATGGCCCTACTGATAGGTAATGTCACCTCCAGTGGCCCAGCTGTGAAATTCCTCTCTTTGTAGTGTCTCTCTTTATTTCTCAGCTGGCTGACACTTATGGAAAACAGAAAGAACCTATGTTGAAATATTGGGGGCAGGTTCCACCAATACTTCTTTCATGGATTTACTTAATTTTTGTTTATCTCCCTCTGTATCCTAGAAACTCCTGGAGAGCAGAGCCATGCCTGCCATTTCCATCATTGCATTACCACCACCCAGCACAGTGCCTGGCACAAAAGAGTTGCTCAATAAATAAATCAGGATGAATGGATAAATACACGGACAGGCACTTTGAACTACAGATGAGCTTAAATACTTTGTGTTTTTCTTAGTCAAACATGTGCAATTAAGCATGTGATAAATTATATGATGACCACACCTGTGTCTTGCCTGATGATCTTTGCAATCACTAAACAAAGTCAATTTTGCCTGTTTTGACAGTTCTGTTTTCAACCTAATCTGGTTCTTTTAACTTCTGGCTGTTGGCTTTGTTTGCGTTGTTAGCCTGACAAAGTGGCAGATATTGGTATAAGCTCTTTTGTTTAAATGCCACGAACTTTAAAAATGCCTTTGCTTTTGGTAAGAAACCCTAGTTAGGACAGTCTAGTGGTCAGGATGATTTGGGTTCTGGTGCAGTAACAACAATCCCCAAATCTCAGTGGCTCCATGCAGTGAGGTATTTGTTTGCTTGTTTGTTTTTGAGACAGGGTCTCACCCTGTCACCCAGACTAGAGTGCAGTGGTGCAATTTCAGCTCACTGCAACCTCTGCCTCCTAGACTCAAGTGATTCTCTGCCTCCTGAGTAGCTGGGATTACAGGCCCATGCCACTACTGTCTGGCTAATTTTTGTGCTTAGTATTGACAGGATTTCACCATGTTAGCCAGGCTGGTCTTGAACTCCTGACCTCAAATGATCCACCTGCCTTGGCCTCCCAAAGTGCTGGGATGACAGGCATGAGCCACCATGTCTGGCCACAGTGAGGCTTATTCTTGGTCATGTTACATGTCTGGGCTGTGTTAGGGCATTGTGGTGTGGTCTGTTCATTGTGTTCACTCAGGGATCCAGGTTGACAAAAGTCCCATCTCTGCATATGTCCTTGATCATCACTTCAGGGGAAAGGGAATGTGGTGGATCACAGAGCCTCTTAGCACTTCCACCTGGAGGTGACTCAAGTTGCTCCTGCTCATGGTTCATTGGACAAAACAGATCACAGAGTCATGGGCAACTTCTCTGTGCCTGGAAGGGGAACCAAAATATGAATAGCTACATTGATTTTCTCTAGCTAGTACACAGAAGGCCTCATTTAAACACAGTTACTTATTTGTGTTTTGAAGCTAATTGTAGTCCATCAACTTTCACAGAAGATATGTGCACTTCCAAGCTATTTTTAAGCACAGCTTTTTTTTTTTTCTTTTGAGACAGAGTGTCACTCTCTTGCCCAGGCTGGAGTGCAGTGGCATGATCATGGATCACTGCAACTTCTGCCTCCTGGGTAAAAGTGATTTTTGTGCCTCAGCCTCCCAAAGTGCTGGGATTACAGACACCCACCACTGCGCCTGGCTAAGTTTTGTATTTTTAGTAGAGATGGGGTTTCACCATGTTGGCCTGGCTGGTCTGGAACTCCTGACCTCAGGTGATCCACCTGCCTCAGCCTCCCAAAGTGCTGAGATGACAGGCGTGAGCTGCCGTGCCCGGCCTTGAGTATGATTTTTGATTGGGAACGTCAGAGTTTGGGATTTAGTCTGAGGACAGTATGACGTGAAGGTGAAAAGCAGAGCTTGGCTGTGAGTTTGCTGGGATTCCTGTGCTACTTCTACAGTTCTTTGGCTGTGTGAACATCACCTTTGGCAAGTTCCTTTACCTTTCTATGTGTTGGTTTCCACATCAATAAAATGGAAAAAAATAATCATAATCATAATATCTATTGGTGTTGGGATAGCCCAGTGGTTGACACATAAGGACTCAAAAATAGTATTTTTTTTTTTTTGAGATGGAGTCTTGCTCTGTTGCCAGGCTGGAGTGCAGTGATGCAATTTTGACTCACTGCAACCTCTGCCTCCTGGGTTCAAGCGATTCTCCTGCCTCAGCCTCCTGAGTAGCTGGGATTACAGATGCCTGCCACCACTCCCAGCTAATTTTTGTACTTTTAGTAGAGATGGGGTTTCACCATGTTGTCCATGATGCTCTCGATCTCTTGACTTCATGATCCACCCACCTCAGCCTCCCAAAGTGTTGGGATTACAGGCATGAAAAACCATGCCTGGCTCAAAAATACGATTATCAATTTTGGGGGGTAGTTACTATATTTTGTGAAAATCAGAGTTCAGTACCTTGTAACACTGGGTTGGGATCTAACCCTGAAAGAACAGGCTTCTAAAGAGGAAGGCATGGAGAGAGGGGCAAAATTTCATTGGATGTTGTAATGACTTTAGGTATATGGATCTGGGGTTGAGTTCTAGCTGGGCCACCAGATAGCAAGGTGGACTTTGCTAAATTCTATCACTTTCCTGGGCCTCAGACTCACTTGTTACAAATGGGGTTAAAGCATCCCTCTTTCAAGGCTAAGATAAAGATGATTAAGTAAGAGGGGATGAAAGCAACTTCCATCAATGCTCAAAAGTTATTCGTTTAACTTTTTTTTTTTTTTTTTTTTTGAGATGAAGTCTCTCTCTGTTAACCAGGTTGGAGTGCAGTGGTATGGTCCCGGGTCACTGCAACCTCCACCTCCTCAGTTCAAGTGATTCTCCTGCCTCAGCCTCCTGAGTAGTTGGGACTACAGTTGTGTGCCACCACACCTGGCTAATTTTTGTATTTTTAGTAGAGATGGGGTTTCACCATGTTGGCCAGGATGGTCTCGATCTCTTGACCTTGTGATCCACCCTCCTTAGCCTCCCAAAGTGTTGGGATTACAGGCATGAGCCACCACGCCCAGCCCACTTAACTTCTATATTACTTTCCTGTTGGTGGATTTACCAGTGCAAACTGAGCAGCTTAAACACCACCCAGTTATTATGTGTTTTCATGAGCCAAGGGTCTGGGCAGGGTTTAACTGGGTCTTCTATTCAGGGTCACAATACTGCAACCAGAGTGTCAGTTGGAGCTGGGGTCTCATCAGATGCTCAGGGTCCTCTTTCAAGCTTATTCAGTTTGTGGACTGAATTCACTTTCTTCCAATTGTTGAATGAAGGCCCTCAGCTACTAGAGCTGCCACCTCCAAAGACAGCTCACAGCAGGGCCATTTGTGTCTCCTTGGAGGCTAAGAGTTGAATCTCTGAAACTTCACCTTTAAAAGGCTCACCTGATTAGGTCTGGCCCACCTAAGATCATACTGCTTTGGATGAACTCAAAGTCAGATGAGCAAATGTGTTTAACAAAGCAAGTGTGACCATAATTACATCTGCAAAATTCCTTCCCCTTGGCCAAATCACAAGCTCTGGACACACTCAAGAATAGGAGATGATACAGGGAACAGATATAAGGGAGTGGGTCTCTTGGGAGCTGTCCTAGAATTCTGCCCATTACAACTTCCTTTCTCGAGGAACAGCAGGCCTGGGGAGAGATGATCATGGATGAGAACAGCCCACAGGTGGTGAGCACCTGGTGCTGGGGTAGGATGCAGGAGCCTGCAAAGCAAGTATGAAAAGCCTTCTCTGGGCTGGGTGCAGTGGTTCACGCCTGTAATCCCAGCACTTCGGGAGGCCGAGGTGGGCAGATCATGAGATCAAGAGATTGAGACTATCCTGGGCAACCAACATGGTGAAACCCCATCTCTACTAAAAATACAAAAATTAGCTGGGCGTGGTGGCGCACATCTCTAATAACCCAGCTAACCAAGTGAGCAATTCCTGTCCCTTTTAAGGGCTCACAAGTCTAAGGGGGTCCATGTGAGAGGGTCGTGATCATGAGAGGGTCGTGATCGGTTAACCAAGCAGGTAGTATGTGACTGGGGGCTGCATTTGGCAAACTCCATCTCTACTAAAAATACCCAAATTCAGCAAAGTCTCAGATACAAAATCAATGTGCAAAAATCACAAGCATTCTTATATACCAATAACAGACAGAGAGTTAAATCATGAGCAAACTTCCATTCACAATTGCTTCAAAGAGAATCAAATACCTAGGAATCCAACTTACAAGGGATGTGAAGGACCTCTTCAAGGAGAACTACAAACCACTGCTCAAGGAAATAAAAGAGGATACAAACAAATGGAAGAACATTCTATGCTCATGGGTAGGAAGAATCAATATCATGAAAATGGCCATACTGCCCAAGGTAATTTATAGATTCAATGCCATCCCCATCAAGTTACCAATGACTTTCTTCACAGAATTGGAAAAAACTGCTTTAAAGTTCATACAGAACCAAAAAAAGAGCCTGCATTGCCAAGTCAATCCTAAGCCAAAAGAACAAAGCTGGAGGCATCATGCTACCTGACTTCAAACTATACTACAAGGCTACAGTAACCAAAACAGCATGGTACTGGTACCAAAACAGAGATATAGACCAATGGAACAGAACAGAGCCCTCAGAAATAATGCCACATATCTACAACTATCTGATCTTTGACAAACCTGAGAAAAACAAGCAATGGGGAAAGGATTCTCTATTTAATAAATGGTGCTGGGAAAACTGCCTAGCAATATGGAGAAAGCTGAATCTGGATCTCTTCCTTACACCTTATACTAAAATTAAGTCAAGATGGATTAAAGACTTAAATGTTAGACCTAAAACCATAAAAACCCTAGAAGAAAACCTAGGCAATACCATTCAGGACATAGGCATGGGCAAGGACTTCATGTCTAAAACACCAAAAGCAATGGCAACAAAAGCAAAAATTGACTAGTGGGATCTAATTAAACCAAGAGCTTCTGCACAGCAAAAGAAACTACCATCAGAGTGAACAGGCAACCTACAGAATGGGAGAAAATTTTTGCAATCTACTCATCTGACAAAGGGACCCATGACTTTCTTATAACCAAGAGAATATGGCAGAGGTGATGGGATGTGGTGATTATGTTAGATAGGATGTTAAGTTGTCTTGCTAGGAGGCTGTCTGACTTGCTGGCTTTGAAGATGTGAGCTGCCATGTCATGAGCAGCCAGATGGAGAGGCCCATGTGGCAAGAAGCTGAGGGCAGCAAGAAACTGGGGCCCTGTGTCCAGCAGCCTGCAAGGAACTGGATTCTGCCAACAACCAGATGAGCCGGGAAGCAGATCAATCACCAGTCACGCCTCCAGATGAGAACCAAGCCATGGCTGACACTATGGCTGCAGCCTTGCACTGAACACAGCTGAGTCATGCCTGGATTCCTGACCCACAGAAACCGTACAGTGATAACTGTGTGCTGTCTCAAGCCACAAAGTTTGCAGTAATATTGTTGCACAGCAATAGATAACTAATATAAAAACTGTCTTACATCATGTACATTACTGAGGGAAATGTAGAACCTGGATTTGAGCTCTGATTTCAGAGTTGTGGCCTCAGTCTCCCCAGGAAGACCTGTCCTGGGAGACAGTTATGCTAGGCTGTGATGCTGTGATTGTTCTCTTCCTACCCAGAAGCTTTCAATAGGCATGTCAAGCATGTGACCCCAGCTACATATACCAAATGTATTTCTGACAAATGCCAGGATATCGTGAACTTTCTTGTTTTACTGAGAGCTCCATAAAGGAAGGACCATCTCTGTCTTTTTTTTTTTTTTTTTTTTAAGAGTCTCACTCTGTCACCCAGGCTGGAGTGCAATGGTGCGATCTCGGCTCACTGTAGTCTCTCCCTCCTGGGCTCAAGGGATTCTCCAGCCTCAGCCTCCTGGCTAGCTGGGATCAAAGGCGTGCATCACCATACCCAGCTAATTTCATATTTTTGGTAGAGACGGGGTTTTGTCATGTTGGCCAGGCAGATTTTGAACTCCTGGCCTCAAGTGATCTGCCTACCTCAGACTCCCAAAGTGCTGGGATTACAGGCGTGAGCCACTGCACCTGGCCTGTCTTTTTTATGCTATGTCCACGTGCAACAGCCCAGTGGTCAGCACACAAATGGGTCCAAATGTGAAAGGAAAGGGCAAACACAGGGGAAACATAGGGGTGTTCAGAAATAGTTCCCAGGTCACTGCCTGTTTCAATATGTACAGTCCTCGGCCCCACCCACAAGATTCTGACTTGGCAGGTCAGAGTTGGAGATGGGAAGCTACCTGGTTATGAGGGATCCCAGTGCATTTTGAGGCAGCTGGTTGTTAGACTGCATTGTAAAAATTACTCCCCAAAGATGTGAAGTGAAACAGAAAGGCAAAGGCAGGCTAGAAAACAACACAAGTAAAACATGAACAAGTTCATTCCAGAAGGAGATTCTCAACCACAGCTGCACATCAGAATCAGCTGGGGAGATTTTGCAAACCCAGTGCCCAGGCTCTGCAACCCAGATCAATTATTACAGAATCTCTTGGGGATGAAACATGGGCATCAGTATTTTGTGTGTGTTTGTGTGTTGTTTTTTTTTTTTTTTTTTTTTTGAGATGGAATCTTGTTCTGTCACCCAGGCTGGAATGCTGTGGTGCAATCTCAGCTCACTGCAACCTCTGCCTCCCGGGTTCAACCCATTTTCCTACCTCAGCCTTCCGAGTAGCTGGGATTATAGGCATGCACCGCCACGCCTGGCTAATTTTTGTATTTTTAATAGAAATAGGGTTTCACCATATTGGGCAGGCAGGTCTCAAACACCCAGCCTCACGTGATCCTCCCGCCTTGGCCTCCTAAAGTGCTGGGATTACAGGCATGAGCCATTGCTCCTAGCAGTATTTTTTTAATGAGGCAAAATTCACATAACATACAAATCCCTGTATGAAACCATACACTTCAGTATCATTAAATACATTCATAATGTTAAGCAATCATCATCTCTGTCTAGTTCCAAAACATTTTCATTAACGCCCCCCGCCCCCCCCAAAAAAACCCTGTATCCATCAAGAACCCCACATCCCCTCCCCTTTCCCCCAGCTCCTGGCAACCACTTACCTGCTTTCTGTCTCTATAGATTTGCCTATTCTGGACCTTTCACATAAATGGAATCATGTAATATATATAATAACCAAAAGGTAGCAACAACCAAGCTGGCCATTTGGTTGATGAATGAATAAACAAAATGTGCTGTATCCATACAGTGGAAGCACTGGTGCCTACTACATGGGGATGGACCTTGCAAACATCATGCTAAGTGAGAGAGAGCCTTGTTATTGTCTCATCTCCCCAGGAGATTCCAAGGTGCAGCAAAAGTTGAGACCCACTGACAAGCAATGGATATGGTTGGGTGCAGATGAAATAAGGCAGCCAGGGACAGGAGGGACTTCTCATTGAAGATGACTATTTGTGGATGCCTAGCAGGGGTGGGGATGAGGTATGATAACAGCAACCCCAATCTCAACACAGCGTGACCGATTTTATCTTCAGTCAGCTGATACACCTCATGGGGTGTGGACACAGGACACTTCTGCCTCCCAGGCTCAAGTGATAACTCCTGCCTCAGCCTTCTAAGTAGCTGGGATTACAGGCATGTACCACCATGCTTAGCTAATTTTTGTATTTTTAGTAGAAACGTGGTCTCGTCATGTTGCCCAGGTTGGTCTCAAACTTCTGGCCTCAAATGATCCACCCACCTCAGCCTCCTAAAGTACTGGGATTACAGGCATGAGCCACAGTGCCCAGCCTCCAAATTCTATTTGAAGTTTGACTTTCCACCTCCAGAAAATCCAAACCTTTGCCCAAGTCACAGTGGGACACCCCGGAGTTAATTTGAGAGAAATGTGCTTTTAAAAACAACTCCAGGCCAGGCGCAGTGGCTCACACCTGTAATCCTAGCACTTTGGGAGGCCGAGGCGGATGGATCACGAGGTCAGGAGATCAAGACCATCCTGGCTAACACGGTGAAACCCCGTCTCTACTAAAAGTACAAAAAATTAGCCAGGCATGGTGGCACATGCCTGTAAGCCCAGCTACTCGGGAGGCTGAAGAAGGAGAATCGCTTGAACCACGAAGGCGGAGGTTGCAGTGAGCCGAGATCGCACCACTGCACTCCAGCCTGGGTGACAGAGTAAGACTCCGTCTCAAAACAACAACAACAACAACAACAACAACAACAATGATAAAAGGTCACCTTTACTGAGCACACACTATCTCAGTCCATCTCTACATCAGCCCTGTATTTCACCAGTGAGGAAGCTGGGACACAGAGTAGTTACGTGGGATGCCCAAAGTGGGACCACTCCTATGAAGTTTCAACACCCTAATGTGAGACCCTCCATGACCTAGCCCCTCTCTTTCTCCAGCCTCATTTCCTGATTCTCTCACTTGCCCTGCAGGCTTCAGCCACACAAACTTCTTGAAAGTCCCTTAAATCTGGCTGAGCGCAGTGGCTCATGTCTGTAATCCCAGCACTTTGGGAAGCTGAGGCGGGTGCATCACCTGAGATCAGGAGTTCGAGGCCAGCCTGGTCAACATGGTGAAACCCCATCTCTACTAAATATCCAAAAATTAGCTAGGTGTGGTGGAGGGTGCCTGTAATCCCAGCTACTCGGGAGACTGAGACAGGAAAATTGCTTGAACTCAGGAGGCAGAGATTGCAGTGAGCCAAGATCACACGACTCCACTCCAGCCTGACCGTCAAGAGCGAAACTCTTTCTCAAAGAGAAAAAAAAAAAAAAAAGTCCCTTAAATCTGCTCTATGCCTATCACCCTCAGGGACTTCACTGTGCTGTTCCTCACCCTGAAATGCTTTTCCTCATTTTCTACCTAGTGAATTCATCCCACCCCCTACACCTCTCCTTAAGTGTCATCTCTTCAAGGAAGATTTTATTTTTAATACAACTATTAAAATATAATTCAGGTACCGTATGATTTGCCCATTTAAAGTGAACAAATCAATGGTTTCAGTGCATTCACAGAGCCTCAGCAACCACTATTATGATCAATTTTAAAACATTTTCATCACCCCAAAAAGAAACCCTGTATCCATTATCAGGTACCTGCCATTTCTTCCTCCCACTAAGCCCTGACAATGTACTTTTTTTGAGATAGAGTCTCTGTCACAGGCTGGAGTGCAGTGGCACAATCTCGGCTCACTACAACCTCTGCCTCCCGGGTTCAAGCAATTCTCCTGCCTCACGAGTAGCTGGGATTACATGCATGTGCCACCATGCCCATCTAATTTTATATTTTTAGTAGAGACAGGGTTTCTGTCTTCATAGACTTGCGTGTTCTGCACATTTCATATAAATGAAATCTTATAATATGTGACCTTTTGTGACTGGTTTCTTCCACTTAGCCTAATATTCTCATGGTTCATCCGTGTTGTAGCACGTGTTAGTACTTAATTCCTTTTGATGACTGAATAATATTCCATTGCATGGTGAAACCATGTTCTATTACTCCACTCATCAGTAGACAAGCATTTGTGTTGTTTTCAATTTGGCGTTATTGTGAGTAATGCTGCTATGAGCATTTATGTACAAGTTTCTGCATAGACATATATTTTCATTTCTTTCATAAACTGGAGTGGAAGTGCTGGGTCATAGAACTCTGTGTTTAAGCTTTTGAAGAAATGCCAGACTGTAAGAAAGAAAGCCTTTCCTCACCCTGCAAGACTGAGCTCCCTCTCTCCATTTATGTGTTCTCTTTATGCCCTTTGCTTCTCTTTCAGAGCAATTCACGTTGACCTGGGTCACCCTCAACTTAAGGCTCATAACTCCCCTAGACCCTCAGGGCCCACACTAAATGTGATGAAATATGATGCAAGCCACACATTCACTTTTGCATTTTGTAGTAACCACATTTTAAAAAGTAAAACAAAAGAAGTGAAGGTAATTGGAATAATATCACAGATTTAAATAAATCTATCCAAAATACCAGGTCTACGTGTATAAAATATTTTAACATTAGTAAAATACTTTGCTTTCTTTTTATATTAAGGCTTCACAATCTAACGTGTATTTGACACTTCTCGCCCATCTCAGTATGATGGCAGCACCCCATATGGGAGGCCCTCCCATGATGCCAATGATGGGCCCTCCTCCTCCTGGGATGATGCCAGTGGGACCTGCTCCTGGAATGAGGCTGCCCATGGGAGGCCACATGCCCATGATGCCTGGGTGCCCAATGATGAGACCTCCTGCCCATCTCATGATGGTGCCCAGTCAGCCCAGAATGACTCGACCAGACAGATAAGGATAGAGTGGAAGCCTCATTACATCAGTGTTTGTTGTTGTTGTTGTTGTGTTTTTTTGTTTTGTTTTTGAGACAGAGCCTTCCTCTGTCACCCAGGCTGGAGGGCAGTGGCACGATCTCAGCTCACTGAAACCTCCACTTCCTGGGTTCAGGTGATTCCCCTGCCTCAGCCTCCTGAGTGGCTGGGACTACAGGTGTGCGCACCATGCCTGGCTAATTTTTTTAATTATAGTAGAGACAGGATTTCACCATGTTTGCTGGGATGGTCTCAATCTCCTGACCTCGTGACCCGCTTGACTCAGCCTCCTAAAGTGCTGGGATTACAGGCGTGAGCCACTGCGCCCGGCCTATATGAGTTTATATTTACCTGCTCCCTTCACCAGGAGATCATGCGCTGATACTGGGTTTTCTTAACAGCATAAGGAACACTTGCCCCCTTACCCTATCAAAGAGAATAGTTTTGGAGGGGAGAAGTGGGACCAAAAAAGACGCAGTTTTCATTTGTATTGGGAAATGTGAAAATAAAATTGTCAACTCTTTTAGTTAAAAACAAAAAAAAAGAAAAGAAAACAAGATGTGGGGCTGCCATGTGCAATACCGTGGTTTCCAAGGATCTTCTACTCTGGAGGCAAAGATTATCTTTCTTTGCTGAAGCCAGACCAACCTGACACAAAGACCTTTTGTTTTTTTAATGTGACTGTGTTTTATTTTACAATGTGTAATTCACTTTAGAAGAGCAAAGTACACGTTTGGGGAAGACTATTTAATTTCCTGCATTTATTTAGAATATTGGCTGATGTTACTATGAAGGGAAACAGCTCTAACAAGTGAGTGCCCCCCACATAGGCACAGCTCATGAGTTCAAGGGGCAAAGGAATTGAACAGCAGCTTCCTAATAGCCGGCCTTCTTTGTGGTATGGAAATAATTATCAGCATGTAAAAGACTATATATATATTCAACAATTCTGACCCCCTGCAAAATTCAAATCTACAACTGATTTGCTTCCTGGGCTCCTGAAAACAACTTTGTCATAACTGTTCAGAAATAAAATCACCCAATCGTTGCCCCTTGGGGACGCAGGACAAAGCAAGTCAGCCATGACCAATGTGGAGTCGGCCGTACACAATTACATGCAGACCTGCAGGGCATTGAGTCCCTGCTATGGTCCCTCCCCAGTCAGGCCCCCATTGCCTGGGCTGCAGCAAGAAGGATTCAGGCACAAGTGCATTCAACAAATACTTATTTAATTGTATTGGTGGTTAGAGGGTTGCCGTTGATTAAGGTACATTAATGGATCCATGTCCTCCCTGTATCCAAGACTCTGTCATTTGTCTCTGCAGTTCCTCCCACTGAAGAATCGGAGTATATTTCTCCAGCCGCTAATGTTGGATTTAGTCATGTGTCTAGCTTTGGCCACTGGAATATTAATCTGCATGACCAAAAACTTGGAAAGTGTGCATTCATTTGTGCTCGCTCACTCCTGCTATCACCATGAGAACAAGCCGAGGCCAGAATGCTGCTTCCAGAAGAAGACAAGAGACATCAAGTGCAAAGTCAAGCTTCCCAGACATGCTCATGCCAGATTAACCAATCCTCAGCTGACCCATAGATCCATGAAAATAAACAATTGTTGTATTAAGCCACTGAGATTTGGAGTGACATGTTATGCAGCATTGTGTGACAACAACTAATGGATACAAGGGTCACCATCCTTTATCTCTGTAGATTTTAACCAATTTTTAATAGCTAGATGGAGATCTTCTAGTTGCCCTTATTTATAATGAATATGACTGTAGAGCTAATTTGGCCTGACACTACCAGTAACCTACCCAGAAATTCAGAAATACTTTCTTCTCCAACCCGCCCCAACCAACCTTTTTTTTTGTTTGTTTTTGGGTTATCCTTCTTTGCCTAGGCTAGAGTACAAGTGGTACAGTCAGAGCTCACTGTAACCTCAAAATCCTGGGCTCAAGTGATCTTCCCCTTCAGCCTCCTGAGTAGCTAAGACTACAGACATGTGCCACCATGCCTGGCTAATTTTTTTATTCTTTGCAGAGACAGGGTCTCAGTATATTGCACAAGTTGGTTTCAAACTCCTGGCTTCAAGCAGTCCTCCTGCCTCATCCACCCAAGGTGCTAGGATTATAGGCATGAGCCACCATGCCCAGCCTCTTCTTCTTTTTAAATAGAAACACTATTTTATTCTGACAGTGGGTTGCTTTCTTTTTTTTTTTTTAAGAAAAAGTTGACCCAGCCCCAGGGAATAAATTCTGACTGTTCTAAACAGGGTTGGCAAACTATAGACCAGGGGCCAAATCTGGCCCTCTGACTGTTTGTATAAATTAAGTTTTACTGGAATAAACCCAGGTCCACTCATTTATGCATTGTCTACATATGCTTTTAGGCTACGATGGCACCACTGCGTCACTGCAACAGAAGTTATCTAGACCAAAAGCCTAAAATATTACCGTTTGCCTCTTTATGGAAAAAGTTTGCCATTCCCTAGTCTAAGGTTTAGAGTCTGAGCTTATCATTTTAGCCTAATCCCCCTTACCAGTGACTGGCTCAAAACAAGTCTGTGATTCCATTCTGACTGTTCTACTGAGGGAATTCCCCCTTCTTCTCATGCAGAGCTGATGAGGGTAAGTTGTATTAATAGGACATATGCTCAGGTTTTCTGAAAAATACTTTTATCTAGAAATGCATAGGAATATGCTGGTGCCTGAATGTACCATCTGGGGGCCTGGAGATTGACTCACACTGCCTCCAGAGCTAGTGCTCACACTTACTACTGAGAGGCCTGAGGAAACGCCTGCCTACCCACCACCAGAACCTGCACACATCACCTGGAGAACTAGAGATCAGACTGCCACACACACCACCCAGGAGCCCAGTGGCACACCTGCCCACCTGGCCCAGTGTTGCCACTGCCAGCAACCAAAGAAGCCACCTGGGGACCCAAGGATTGGCACATGCAGACAGGCTATCATCAGTGCCCATATACACTGCCCATGGTCCCTAGTATTGACCAACCTGGTCCACCACCACTACCACTGATGCTGAAGGACAAGACTTCCTGGCATCCCTATCCTCAGCAAAGCCTCACCACATCCTCCAATAACAACTGTGGTCTGTCCAGGCATGGTGGCTCACCCCTGTAATCCCAGCACTTTGAGAGGCCAAGGTGGGTAGATCATGAGGTCAGGAGTTCGAGACCAGCCTGGCCAACATGGTGAAAACCCCGTCTCTACTAAAAATACAAAAATTAGCTGGGCATGGTTACACGTGCCTGTAGTCCCAGCTACTCAGGAGGCTGAGGCAGGATAATCACTTGAACCCAGGAGGCAGAGGTTGCAGTGAGCTGAGATTGTGTCACTGAACTCCAGCCTGGTGACAGAGCTAGACTCCATCTCATCAACCACACACACACACACACAAAAACCAAAAAAAAAAAAAAAAAAACTGCAGTCTAAGCCACTGAATGACTCAGAGACACCACTCAGGCCAATTACAGCTGAAGAAATCATATGCAGACTATACCACTGTACCCACCCAGAATCAAAGCCAAAGTGTGGTATCCAATGAACATTGTAGATACAGCTATAAGAAAAGGTCTTTCCCATATAAAAGCCAATCCATAAAATTGGAAGAAGTGACTGTTATGTCAGAGGCACAGATAGTCACATAAGGATGCAAGAAATATGAAAAAGGAAACATAACATCTCCAAAGAAGCACAATAATTCTCCAGCAACAGATTCCAATGAAAAGAAAATCTATGAAATGCCTGAAAAAAATTAAGAATAATGTTATTAAAGAAACTCAGGGAGATACAAGAGAACACAGATAACGAATACAAAAAAATCAGGAAAACAATTCATGATCTGAATGAGAAATTCAACAGAGATAGACAGCATAACAAAGAACCAAACACAAATCCTGGAAGAGAATAAATCATTGAAAGAAATACAAAAGATAATTGAAAGCTTTAACAACAGACTAGATCAAGCAAAACAAAGAATTTCTGAACCTGAAGACTAGTCTTTTAAAATAATCCAGTCAGACAAAAAGAAAGAAAAAAGAATGAAGCAAGGCTACATGACATATGGGACACATATGTGACCAAAAACTGAAATTCTGGGAGTTCTGGATGGAAATGAGATGGGTAAAGGCATAGAAAACCTATTCAATAAAATAATAACTGAAAACTTCCTGAAAGCTTCCAAATGCAGGAAGCTCAAAGATTACCAAATAAATACAACTCAAAAAGGTCTTCTCCAAGGGACATTATGGTAAAATTGTCAAAAGACAAAGAGAAAATGCTAAAAACAGCAAGAAAAAAGCATCAAGTCACTTAGAAGAGAATCTCCATCAGGCTAACGGGATTTCTCAGCAGAAACCTTACAGGCTAGGAGAAAAGGGGATGTATACTACAAGCAAAAAAAAAAAAGAAAAAAATGTAAGCCAAAAATACTATACGCAGCAAAGCTATCCTTCACAAATGAAGGAGCCTGGCACAGTGGCTCACATCTGCAATTCCAGAGACTCAGAAGGCTAGGCAGGAGGATCATTTGAGCCCAGGAGTTCAAGGCTGCAGTGAGCTATGATCATGCCACTGTACTCCAGCCTGGGTGACAGAGTGAAACTCCATTGCTATAAAAAAATAAATACATAAATAAAAAAGTATTTCCCAGATAAGAAAAAGACTGTTTGGGTCTTGTTTGTTGTGGTCCTAGGGGAAATGCTTAAGAGAATCCTACATTGGGAAGCAAAAGAACAATATCTACCCTCAAGAAAATAGATGAAAGTATAAAACTCAGTGGCAGAGCAGACACACAAAGAAGAAAGGATTCAAACAACACCACTAAAGAAAACCACTGAACTGCAACCATAAATAATGAGAGAAAAAAGGAACAAAGGTGTATTAGTCTGTTTTCACACTGCTGATAAAGACATACCTGACTGAGACTGGGCAATTTACAAAAGAAGGATGTTTAATGGACTTACACTTCCACATAATTGAGGAAACCTCACAATCACGTTGGAACGCAAGAAGAAGCAAGTCATGTCTCACATGGATGGCAGCAGGCAAAGAGAGAGCTTCTGCAGGGAAACTACCCTTTTTAAAACCATCAGACCTTGTGAGACATACTCACTATCATGAGAACAGCATGGGAAAGACCAGCCCCCATGACTCAGTTGCTTCCCACCAGGTCCCTCCCACAACATGTGGGAATTCAAGATGAGATTTGGGTGGGGACACAACCAAACCATATCATTCTGCCCCTGGCCCTTCCCAAAACTCATATCCTCACATCTCAAAACCAATCATGCCTTCGCAACAGTCCCCCAAACTCTTAACTAAGTTCAGCATTAACTCAAAAGTCCACCATCCAAAGTCTCATGTGAGACAAGGCAAATCCCTTCCGCCTCTGAGCATGTAAAATCAAAAACAAGTTAGTTACTTCCTAGATACAATGGGGGTATGGGCATTGGGTAAACACAGTCATTACAAATAGGAGAAAATTGCCAAAACAAAGGGGTTACAGGCCCCATGCAAGCCCAAAATCCAGTGGGGCAGTCAAATCTCAAAGCTCCAAAATGATCTCCTTTGACTCCATGTCTCACATGCAGGTCATGCTGATATAAGAGATGGGCTCCCATGGCCTTGGGAGAAAAAAGGCCACAGCCCCACTCCTGTGGCTTTGTAGGGTATAAACCCCCTCCTGGCTCCTTTCATGGGTTGGCATTGAGTGTCTGCAGCTTTTCCAGGCACACAGTGCAAGTTGTCAGTGAATCCACCATTCTGGGGTCTGGAGGATGGTGGCTCTCTTCTCACAGCTCCACTAGGTGGTGCTGCAGTAGGGACTCTATGAGAGGGCTCTGACCCCACATTTCCCTTCTGCACTGCCCTAGTAGAGGTTCTCCATGAGTGCCCTGTCCCTGCAGCAAACTCCTGCCTGGATGTCTAGGCATTTCCATACATCTTCTGATATCTAGGCAGAGGTTTCCAAACCTCAATTTTTGACTTCTGTGCACCCATAGGCTCAACATTATGTGGAAGCTGCTAAGGCTTGGGGCTTGCACCCTCTGAAGCCATAGCCCATGTTGTACCTTGGCTCCTTTTAGCTGCAGCTTCAGTGGCTAGGACTCAGGCACCCTAGGCTGCTCACCGCAGGGGGGCCCTGGGTCCAGCCCAGAAAACCATCTATTTTTCCTAGGCCTCTGGGCCTTTGATGGGAGGGGCTGCCATGAAGATCTGTGACATGTCCTGTATACATTTTCCCCATTGTCTTGGGGATTCACATTTGACTCCTCGTTACTTAAACAAATTTCTGCAGCCAGAATGAATTTTTCTTGAGAAGATGGGATTTTCTTTTCTATTGCATTTTCAGGCTGCAAATTTTCCAAACTTTCAGGCTCTGCTTCCCTCATAAAACTGAGGGCCCTTAACAGCACCCAAGTCATCTCTTCAATGCTTTGCTGCTTAGAAATTTCTTCTACCAGATACCCTAAATCATCTCTCTCAAGTTCAAAATTCCACAAATGTCTACAGCAGGGGCAAAAAGCCACAAGTCTCTTTGCTAAAACGTAACAGGAGTCACCTTTGTGCCAGTTTCTGACAAGTTCCTCATTTCCATCTGAGACAACCTTGGCCTAGACTTTATTGTCCATATAACCATCAGCATTTTGGGCAAGTCTCTAGGAAATCTCTTCCCAATTTTCCCACATTTTCCTGTATCCTTCTGAGCCCTCCAAACTGTTCCAACCTCTTCCTGTTTCCCAGTTCCAAAGTCACTTCCACTTATTCAGGAATCTTTTAGCAACACTCCACTTCTGGTACTAATTTACTGTATTAGTCCATTTTCACACAGCTGATAAAGACACATTCAAGACTAGGAAATTTACAAAAGAAAGAGGTTTAATGGACTTACAGTTCTACATTGCTGGGAAGGCTTCAAAGTCATTGCGGAAGTCAAGGAGAGGCAAGTCACATCTTACAGGGATGGCAGCAGACAAAGAGAGAGCTTGAGCAGGGAAACTCCTCCTTTTAAAACCATCAGATCTCATGAGACTTATTCACTATCAAAAGAATAACATGGGAAATACCTGCCTCCATGATTCAACTACTTCCCACTGGGTCCCTCCCACAACACATGGGAATTCGAGATGAGATCTGAGTGGGGACATAGCCAAACTGTATCAAAAGGATATACAAAATAACCAGAAAACAATGAACAAAATGACAGGAATAAGTCCTCACCTATCAATAATAACTTCGAATATGGGTTAAATTACCTACCTAAAAGATAGAGACAGGCTTAATGGATAAAAAATGACCCAACAACGTCTACAAGAAACTCACTTCACTTGTAAAGACACACACAGACTGAAAGTGAAGGGATTGAAAAAGATATGCCACACAAACAGAAATCAAAAGTAACCAGGAGTAGCTAAACTTACATCAGATAAAACAGACTTTAAGTCAAAAACTGTAAAAAGGACAAAGAAGGTCATTATATGGTAATAAAGGGATCAATTCAGCAACAAACTGTAACAATTCTAAATATGCATGCAACCAACACAAGCACATCCAGACACACATAGCAAATATTATTAAATCTACAGGGAAAGATAGAGTCCAATACAATGATAGTTGAGAACTTCAATATCCTACTCTCAGCACTGGACAGTTCATCTAGACATAAAATCAACAAAGAAACATTAGATTTAAGCTGCACTTTAGACCAAATGGAGCTAACAGATATTTTCAGAATATTTCATCCAGCAGCAGCAGAATATACAATCATCTCATCAACACATGGAACATTCTCCAGGATAGACCATATGTTAGGACACAAAACAAGGATCAACAAAATTTTAAAAATTAAAATCATATCAAGTATCTTCTCAGACCACAATGGAATAAAACTTGAAATCAATAAGAAGAAGAAATTTGGAAACTGTACAAATACATGGACATTAAACATGCTATTGAATGACCATTGGATCAATGAAGAAATTAAGATGGACATTAAAAATTTTTTTAAACAGAAAACGGAAACACATCATGCAAAACCTATGGGATACAGCAAAAGCAGTACTAGGAGGAAAGTTTATAGCAATAAATGCCTACACCAAAAAAGTAGAAAGATTTCAAATAAACAACCTAATGATGAACCTCAAGGAACTCAAAAAGCAAGAACAAACCAAACACGCAATTAGTGGAAAGAAAAAATAATAAACAACATAGCAGAACCAAATGCAACAGAGACAAAAAAGAAATGCAAAGAATCAACAAGATAAAAGTTGTTTTTTTGAAAAGTTAAACAAAATTGATAAACCACTAGTGAGGCTAACCAAAAAAAAAAAAAAAAAAAAAAAACAAAAAAAAAGGAGACCCAAATAAATACAATCAGAAATGAAAAAGGAGACACTACAACTGTTACCAAGGAAATAAAAAGGATGATTAGAGGCTATTATGAACAACGATATCCTAACAAATTGGAAAACCTAGAGGAAAGGGATAAATTCCCAGACATACACAGCCTACCAAGATTGAACTAGGAAGAAACAGAAAACCTGAACTGACCCAAAATGAATAGCAGGTTTGAATCAGTAACAAAAAGTCTCCCAAAAGAGAAAAGCCCTAGACTAGGCTTTTATGCTGATTTCTACCCAATTTATAAAGAAAAACAAACACCAATTCTTCTCAAACTATTCCCAAAAATTGAAGAGGAGGGAATTCTTCCTAACTCATTGTATAAGGCCAGCATTACCCTCATATCCAATCAAGACAAGGACACAACAAAAAGAGAAAACTACAGGCCAATATTCCTAATGAACACAGATGGAAACATTCTCAGCATAATACTACCAAGCCAAATCTAATGATGAATGAAAAAGATAATATACCATGATCAAGTGGGATTTATCCCAGGAATGCAAAGATGGCTTAACATACACAAATCAATACATGTGATACATCACATCAACAAGATGAAAGGCAAAAACTATCTGATCATCTCAGCAGATGCAGAAAAATCACTCGGTAAAACTTACCGTTCCTTCAACATGAAAACTCTCAACAAATTATGCATAGAAGGAACACTTCAAAATAAGAAAAGGCATATATGACAAATCTACAGCTAACATCCTACTCACTGGGAAAAATTGAAAAGCCTTTCCTCTAGGAACTGGAGCAAGACAAGGATGCCCACTTTCACCACTCTTTATTCAACACAGTATGGGGCATCCAAGCCAGAGTGATCAGACAAGATAAAGAAATAAAAGGCATCCAAAATGGACAAGAGGAAGTCAAATTGTCTCACTTTGCAGATGACATAATCTTATACTTGTAAACAGAAAACCTAAAGACTCCACCAAAAAACTCTTAAAATGGGTAAATTAGGCTGGGCATGGTAGCTCATACCTGTAATCCCAGCACTTTGGGAGGCCAAGGTGGGTGGACCACCTGAGGTTGGGAGTTTGAGGCCAGCCTGGCCAACATGGTGAAACCCTGTCTCTACTAAAAATACAATTAGTCAGGCATGGTGGTAGGTGCTTGTAATCCCAGCTACTTGGGAGGCTGAAGCAGGAGAATCACTTGAACCCCAGAGGTGGAGTTTCAGTGAGCCAAGATTGCACCACTGCACTCCAGCCTGGGCAACAGAGTGAGAGTCTATCTCAAAAAATAAAAAATAAAAAAATTTTTAAAAAACGGATGTATAATTCAGTAAAGCTTCAGGACACAAAATCAACATACAAAAATCAGTAATGTTTCTATATACCAGTAACAAACTAGCTAAAATAGAAATCAAGGAAGAAATTCTATTTATAATACCTACAAAAATAAAATACCTAGGAATAAACTTAACCAAGGATGGGGAAAAAAAAAAAAAAAAAAACCTCTGCAAAGAAAACCACAAAACACTGATAAAATAAATTGAGAAGGACAGGAAGAAATGGAAAGGAATCTCATGCTCGTGGGTTGGAATAACTAATACTGTTAAAATGACCATGCTACCCGAAGCCATCTAGAGATTCAGTATAATCCCTATCAATTATATTCTTCACAGAAACAGGAAAAAAAACCCTGAAATTCATATGGAACCAGAGAAGACCCCAAATAGCCAAAGCAATACTGAGCAAAAAGAACAAAGCTAGAAGCCTCACATTACCTGATTTAAAAATATACTGTAAAGCAGCCAGGTGCGGTGGCTCATGCCTGTAATCCCAGCACTGTGGGAGGCCGAGGCGGGTGGACCACAAGGTCAGGAGATCGAGACCATCCTGGCTAACATGGTGAAACCTTGTCTCTACTAAAAAAAAAAAAAAAAAAAAAAAAAAAAAAAAATTAGCCAGGTGTGGTTGTGGGCGCCTGTAGTCCCAGCTACTCGGGAGGCTGAGGCAGGAGAATGGCGTGAACCCGGGAGGCAGAGCTTGCAGTGAGCCAAGATTGCGCCACTGCACTCCAGCCTGGGCAACAGAGCAAGACTCTGTCAAAACAAAACAAAACAAAACAAACAAACAAACAAACAAAATATATATATATATACTGCAAAGCTATAGTAACCAAAACAGCTAGTATTGGTATTAAAACAGACACAAAAACAAAGGAAACACACTAAAGAATCCAGAAATGAATCCACATATTTACAGCTAACTGATTTTCAAGAAAGCTGTCAAGAACATACATTGAATAAAGGACAACCTCTTCATTAAATGGTGCCAGGAAAACTAGATATCCAAACACAGAAGAATAAAACTAGACCCTTATCTCTCATCACTTACAAAAATAAACTCAAAATCAATTAAAGACTTAAGTGTAACAGCTACAACTATAAAACTACTGGAAGTAAACACAGGAGAAACGCTTCAGAACAAACAATGTATGGCTAACACTTAAAAAGTACAAGCAACAAAAACAGACAAATGGGATTATATTAAATTAAATACCTTCTGCATATCAAAGAAAGCAATCAACAGAGTGAAAAGACAACACTCCTTCCTTACACCATACACAAAAATTAACTCAAGATGGCTTGAAGACTTAAATGTAAAACCCATAACTATAAAAACGCTGGAAGACAACCCAGGCAATACCATCTGGTACATAGTGATGGGCAAAGAGTTCATGGTGAAGATGCCAAACACAATTGCCACAAAAGCAAAAATTGACAAATGGGATCTAATTAAATGAAAGAGCTTCTGCACAGCAAAAGAAACTATCAGAAAATAAAGACATTTCTCAAAAGAAGATATACAAATCACCAAGTTTATGAAAAAATATTCAACATCACTAATCATCACGGAAATGTAAATCAAAACCACAATGAGATATCATCTCACACTTGTTAGAATGGTTATTATGAAAAAGACAAAGCACAACAAATGCTGGCAAGCATGTGAAGAAAATTATTGTATATTGTTGGTGGGAATGTAAATTAGTACAGCCATTATGAAAAAAATACAGAGATTTCTCAAAAAACTAAGAACAGATCTACCATATGATCCAGCAGTCCCATTCCTGGGTATATATCCAAAAAAAAAAGGATATCAGTGTATCAACGGGATATCTGTACCCCCATATTTACTGCAGCACTATTTACAATAGCCAAGATATGGAATCAATCTAAGTGTCAAACAATGGATGAATGGATAAAGAAAATGGGAATATACGCACAATAGAATAGTATTCAGCCACAAAAAAGAATGAAATCCTGTCATTTTCAGCTAAATGTATGGAATTAAAGGTCATAATGTTAGGTGAACTAGGCCATGCACAGAAAGAAAATCATTGCCTGTTCTCACTTATATGAGCGGTTTATGCTCCTGGAAATCAAAGTGGGGGCCATGTTTCAGGTCAGTAGGGTCAGGGATAGAGACCGCAGTTATGGACTTGTGTGCCCTGGAGCTATATAAAATTGACATCATGGAGATAAAGAGTAGAATGATAGTTACCAGAGGCTGGGAATAGGAGGGGTTTGAAAAGAGGTTGATTAATGGGTATAAAAATATATAACAGAAGGAATAAGATCTAGTGTTCATTATCACAGAAAGTGACTACAACAATTTGTTGTATATTTCTTTTTTTTTTTAATTTCAATAGTTTTTAGGGAACAGGTGGTATTTAGTTACATGGATAAGTTCCTTAGTGGTGATCTCTGAAATTTTGGCATACTCATCACCAAAGCAGTTTACCCAATGTATAGTCTTTTATCTCTCACCCCCTCCCACCTTCCCCCTGAGCCCCCAACGTCCACTGTTTCATTCTTGTGCCTTTGCATCATCATAGCTTAGCTCCCACTTACAAGTGAGAACATGCAATGTTTGGTTTTCCATTCCTGAGTTACTTCATTTAGAATAATGGTCTCCAACTCCATCCAGGTTGCTATGAATGCCATTATTTCATTCCTTTTTAAGGCTAAGTAGTATTCTATGGTATATATATATATACATAAAATACATTTTCTTTATCCACTAATTGATTGATGGGCATTTGGGCTGGTTCTGTAGTTTTGCAACTGTGAATTTTGCTACTGTAAACATGTGTGCAAAAGCATCTTTTTCATATAATGACTTATTTTCCTCTGGGTAGATACCTAGAAGTGGGATTGCTGGATCAAATGGTAGATTTACTTTTAGTTCTTTAAGGAATCTCCATACTGCTTTCCATAGTGGTGGTACTAGCTTACATTCCCACCATAAGTGTAAAAGGGTTCTCTTTCACCACGTCCGTGCCAACATCAATTTTTGCTTTTTTTGTTTTTGTTTGTTTTTTTTTTTTTTTTTTTTTTTTTTTTTTGAGATGGAGTCTCACTCCGTTACCCAGGCTGGAGTACAGTGGTGCGATATCAGCTCACTGCAACCTCTGCCTCCCGGGTTCAAGCAATTCTCCTGTCTCAGCCTCCTGACTGGCTGGGATTACAGGTAACCACCACCATGTCTGGCTAATTTTTGTATTTTCAGTAGAGACTGGGTTTCACCATGTTGGTCAGGCTGGTCTCAAACTCCTGACCTCCTGATCCACCCACCTCGGCCTCCCAAAGTGCTAGGATTACAGGTGTGAGCCACTGCACCCGGCCCTATTTTTGTTTATTTTACACGTGGTATTGCATTGTGGTTTTGATTTGCATTTCCCTGGTAATTAGTGATATTGAGCATTTTTTCATATGTTTGTTGACCATTTGTATATCTTCTTTTGAGAATTGTCTATTCATGTCCTTGGCACACTTTTTGATGGGATTATTTTTTTCTTGCTGATTAGAGTTCCCTGTAGATTCTGAACATTAGTCCTTTGTCAGATGCAGTTTGTGAAAATTTTCTCCCACTCTGTGGGTGATCTGTTTACTCTGCTGATTATTTCCTATGCTGTGCAGGAGGCTTTTAGTTTAATTAAGTCCCATCTATTTATCTTTGTTTCTGTTGCATTTGCTTTTGGGTTCTTGGTCATGAACTGTTTGCCTAAGCCAATGTGTAGAAGCGTTTTCCAATGTTATCTTCTGAATTTTTATGGTTTCAGACCTTAGATTTAAGTCTTTGATCCATCTTGTGTTGATTTTTGTATAAGGTGAGAGATGAGGATCCAGTTTTATTCTTTTACATGTGGCTTGCCAATTATCCCAGCACTATTTGTTGTATAGGGGGTACTTTCCCTACTTTGTTTTTGTTTACTTTGTCGAAGATCAGTTGGCTGTTAAGTATTTGGCTTTATTTCTATGTTCTCTACTCTGTCCCATTGGTCATGTGCCTATTTTTATACCAGCACCATGCTGTTTTGGTGCCTATAGCCTTGTAATATAGTTTGAAGTTGGGTAATGTGATGCCTCTAGATTGGTTCTTTTTGCTTAGTTTTGTTTTGGCTATGCAGACTCTTTTTTAGTTCCAAATGAATTTTGGCATTTTTTTCTAGTTCTATAAAGAATGATGATGGTATATTGATAGGAATTGCATTGAATTTGTAGACTGCTTTTGGCAGTATGGTCATTTTCACAATATTGAGTCTATGCATCCATGAGCATGGAATGCGTTTCCATTTGTTTATGTCATCTATGATTTCTTTCAACAGTGTTTTGTAGTTTTCCTTGTAGGGGTCTTTCACTTCCTTGGTTAGGTATATTCCTACGTATTTTATTTTTACAGCTATTATAAAAGGGTTTGATTTGATTCTCAGCCTGGTAGATGTTGGTGTATAGCACTGCTACTGATTTGTGCACATAGATTTTGTATCTTGATAAATGGATTTATTGTATATTTCTAAATAGCAATAAGATTTGAAATATTCCCAACACAAAGAAATGATCAATGTTTGAGGTGATTAATATCCTAAAGACCCTGATTTGATCATTACACATTGCATGCATGTACCAGAATCTCACATGGACCCCATAAATGTGTACAATTATTCTCTATCAAAAACGTTTTTAAGAAACATGCAGGAATACACTGTACCTCTTCCTTGCTGTCTCTGGATATTGTCACAGGAGGACTTGACATGCGGATTGTGGCAGCCTCTGTGACCAAGAGCAGAAGACAATAGCAGCATAGAAACCTCAAATGAAAAACCTAACATCTCAAGCTACTAATTTAGCCAACCTTGGCATCAGCTATCTCTGGTCTTAGTACATGAGGTGATAAGCCCCCACTGTTCAAGTTGGGTGGCCATCAATTGCTGCAGAATAGAAGTTAATGAGGCTTCCTCCTCCTGGATCCCCTACTAGACCCTGACATACCCATTCAGTCACAGGCAGAAAGGGAAGCAGAGGGTAAGGAGACCTGGCTGGCTGTGCCAGACGCAGATCTTACCTGTCCTGCTTAGAACACTCAAAGCTCAATTGGTTAACAAAAAAAGGAAAAACACAGTAAGGAGTATAACACTCCCCAGATGCAACTTAATCTAACACTCTATACTTTAAATTTTCTGAACATACATAGAAATCAGACCACTACTTCTGCAGAACATTTTACTGGTAAAAAGAACAGCCCACATGAGGGAAAACTGATTTGGTGGAAAGACAACAGAAACAAAATATGGGAAATAGGTAAGGTGATAACATGGGGGAGAGGTTTTTCTTGTGTTTCACCAGGAGAAAATCAGCTTCCTGTTTGGATACTCACTAGACATTTGAAGTTCTACAATGAACCCATCAGAGATGCAAATGAAAGTGCCTCCGCAGAGACAGAAAACCCGTAATCGAGCATCATCGACTCGCAGGGTGAACAAAATGGTGATATCAGAAGAACAGATGAAGTTACCATCCACCAAGGAAACGGCACATGTGGAGAGCCAGGGAGAGGAAGAGAAAGAAAAAGAGACAGAGATCAGAGAGAGACACAGAAAGTGAGACTGGGGAGAGAGGTAGTGTAAAAGAGAGAGAGAGAGACTGTAAGAGAAGGGAGACAAAGATAAAAGGTGCGAGTCAGCAGGTGAGGAGAAAGACTGAAAACTATGAGAAATAGCAACTAAGACACAAAGGACATGGGAGACTGCCTGCGTGCCGCAGCACCCACACCGTCCTCTTGCCCCCTGTCACTTGGGTTAAGACCACTGGAAGTTCCACTATTGTAAATTTTGTATTAATCCTTGTATGTCTGTCCTTTGTATTGTTACTCTACAGGTGTATCCAGCAGCTCAAGAGAGACATCGACCAGCGAGAAGGGGCCATGATGATGGTGGTGGTTTTGTGAAAACGAAAAGGGGGATATGTAGGGAAAAGAAAGAGAGATCAGACTGTTACTGTGTCTACACAGAAAGGGAAGACATAAGAGACTCCATTTTGAAAAAGACCTGTACTTTAAACAATTGCTTTGCTGAGATGTTGTTAATCTGTAGCTTTGCCCCGGCCACCTTGCCCCCAACCACTTTGACCCAACCTGGAGCTCACAAAAACATGTGTTGTATGAAATCAAGGTTTAAGGGATGTAGGGCTGTGCAGGATGTGCCTTGTTAACAAAATGTTTGCAAGCAGTATACTTGGTAAAAGTCATCGCCATTCTCTAGTCTCAATAAACCAGGGGTACAATGCACTGTGGAAAGCCGCAGGGACCTCAGCCCTTGAAAGCTGGGTATTGTCCAAGGTTTCTCCCCATGTGATAGTCTGAAATATGGCCTCGTGGGATGAGAAAGACCTGACGGTCCCCCAGCCCGACAACCATAAAGGGTCTGTGCTGAGGTGGATTAGTCAAAGAGGAAAGCCTCTTGCAGTTGAGATAGAGGAAAGCCACTGTCTCCTGCCTGTCTCTGGGAACTGAATGTCTTGGTATAAAACCCGATTGTACATTTGTTCAATTCTGAGATGGGAGAAAAACCGCCCTATGGTGGGAGGCGAGACATGTTTACAGCAATGCTTCCTTGTTATTCTTTACTCCACTGAGATGTTTGGGTGGAGAGAAACATAAATCTGGCTTATGTACACGTCCAGTCATAGTACCTTCCCTTGAACTTCATTATGACATAGATTCTATTGCTCACATGTTTGTTGCTGACCTTCTCCTTATTATCACCCTGCCCTCCTACTACATTCCTTTTTGCTGAAATAATGAAGATAATAATCAATAAAAACTGAGGGAACTCAGAGGCCGTTGCCAGTGCAGATCCTTTGTATGTTGAGCGCCGATCCCCTGGGCCCACTGTTGTTTCTCTACACTTTGTCTCTGTGTCTTATTTCTTTTCTATCTCTCATCCCACCTGACTACAAATACCCACAGGTGTGGAGGGGCAGGCCACCCCTTCATTATGAGATTACAGGCATTAATAACCCCCCCTGGCCACCTAACTCACTCTTGAGAGGCCAGAAGTGATGCTGGAACTTTCTTCCTCTGTGGGTTAAAAAGGGAAAATTAGGGAGAACACAAGGCATGAAAGATGCAGCGATGGATATGTCTATATGGAGCTTCTGTCTGCATCCAGTAGAAAATTCATTTCTAGGCACCAGGTTTAAGAGCGAAAACCTGGAGTCTTGTCTGTTAGCATTCTCCTTCCCCACAAACCAGAGAGGGAATACATTTTGCTCCAGCACACCCGGATGTAGGAAATGTCACATTCCTATTTCTGTAACTTCAGTTAAATCTGCTCTGAGTTCCTGGATGCCTGGCAGGTGGAGAATTCAATCTTGTCATTACCAGCATTCCTTTCCCTTCTCCATGGGCTTACGTAAGAATTCTGGGCATACACACTGTTGGAAACCCTGGCAGGAACTACATCCCCCGAACTCTCCATTCTTCCAGCTGCTCATGATCCGTCAGCCTTTTTTGGGCCATCTGCTATAACAAGACCCTCCTCACAGCATCATTCCACTGACCCACAGGCTCAGCCCCAGGGACCCTCACTATAACAGGTCTCCACTATGCATAGGAACTCACAAAAACCTTCTCTTCATCTTGCCTTCCTCTGATATCCAGCCACTCCCCCACTTCTCACCTTAAACACAGATGGCAGCTCCTTCCCATCGTTCCAAGCCTTGGGGATTGTCCAGCCAAATTCTCTTCAGACACCAAAGCTTCACCCCGCCCTCTTCAGGGAGGTGATGCAAGGGCATCTGAGATCTTTGGAAGCCCAATTCTGGCCTCTCTTTGGGGTGGGCTGAGAGTGGGAACTAGATTCTCTTTTCCAAGTGCCATGTTTATCTTGTTCATCATTATATTATTTCCAATGCCTGGCACAGAGTAGGCACTACAGACTGAAACATAGTAGGTGCTATTAGTGTCTGCATAATGGGACTCTTGAGGTTGAAGCTATTAACAGAAACCTGCCAAGCAAAAGGATGGAAAACCAACCACCAAAAAAAAAAAAAAAAGAAAAGAAAAGAAAAGAAAACAATCGTGGCTTTGAGCTCTAAACACACAAGGCACCAGCCCAAGTTTGGGCAATTTTAATACAACAGCCACTTTGACTCCAAACAAACTGGCACTGGAAACCTCCCTCTGCCTCTTAAAGAGAACCAGTTTCTCTTTCTCTAAGTGGGCAGCATTTCTCCCCGGTGGCAGTACCCAGCCCACTGCCACCAGCAAAGGACTGCAGCCAGGAACCAAGAGCTTGATAGTTTAAAGAATGTATTTTATAGGGAAAAACAAAGTAACAGCCACATAAATCTGGAATTACCACCACTTTCCAGAGGCCGAATCCCATTTGTGGAGTCTCTTGCGTCTCAAGCACCTTGCAGTCAGCTCAACTACATACTTTTGGGATTCGTTGCAGAGAAGAGTGAAGGTTATCTGCAAAATAAAGGAACCAGGGCTCAGAATTCCCAGAGCAATCCATGACAGAGGAGGTGAGTAGAAAAGGGAAGGGTGAAGTCAAAGGAGAGAAGTCAATGAGTCGGCCAACACCAAGCAAGGACCATGGGACCCTCTCCCTGGCCCCACATCTCAAATGCAGTCAACAAAACCCATCAGTGCTTGGTGTAAGTGTTGTATGCTCCCAGAAATGAAAGCAGGGGCCACATTTCAGGTCAGTAGGGTCGGAGATAGAGGCAGCGGTCATGGACTTGTGGGCCCTGGAGGATGGGATGATTCTGAGACATTGAATCCCTACATTGATCTCAGTAGAAATCTCAGGTAGGGCTTCAACATTCGTGGACCAAGGACTCTGCGGGCCTGAGAGCAACAGCCTTGGTGCATGTCCCATCTCCATCAACCTCGACTGGGGCTTTGAACAAGTTACTTATTTTTTAAACTAACGTTATTTTAATTGACAAATCATAATTGTACACATTTATGTGATGTTTTGATATGTGTATACAATGTGGAATGATGAGATCAAACTAATTAACATGTCCATCCCCTAATTTACTGACAATTTTTATGATGAGACATTTGAAATGTACCCTCTTAGTTACTTTGAAAGATACATTATTATTGACTATAGTCACGCTGCTGTGCTATAGATTTCAAAGCATATAATCCAGCAACCCAACTTCTGGGTATAGTAAAAAAAAAAATCGAAATCAATATGTCGAAGGGATCCCTACGTTCCTATGTTCACTGCAGCACTATTCACAATACCCAAGATACAGAATCAACCTAAGTGTCCATCAGTGGATGAAAGGATAAAGCAAATGTACTATATACACCCAATGGAATACTATTAACCCTTAAAAAAGAAATAAATCCTGTCATTTTCAACAACATAAATAAACTTGAAAGACATTCTGTTAAGTGAAATAAGCCAGGCACAGAAAGACAAATACTGCATGATTTTACTTATATGTGGAATCTAAAGAAGTTGAACTCACAGAAATAGAGAGTAGGACAGTGGTTATCAGGGGCTGGGGTGGAGGAAAGGTAGGGGATAGGAGACACTGCTCAAAGGGTACAAAGTTTCCAATAGGAAGAATAAGTTTTGAAGAAGCTAAACTCTTCTGAAAGCTCAGTTGCTCATCTGTAGAGCAGGGACACATCATTAACCTTCTAAGGATGTTGCTGTGAGTAAGAGATGATGTTCAGCACAATACCTAACGCACAGTCAGGTCTCCTTAAGCTTGAACCTGCATCGCCATGACCTCTACATCTCAGGACAGAAAGGCTCACAGCCAGTGTATCAGTTCCCAGTGAAAAGTGGATCCCAGACCAGGCTGAACAGCAGGATCCCTAGGGGATACCCCACCCTACTGAGTCAGAATCACCAGAGGTAGAGCCTGGGTTTGTATGTATGTATGTATGTGTGTGTGTGTGTGTGTGTGTGTGTGTGTGTGTATGTATGTATGTATGTATGTATGTATGTATGTATGTATAAGAGACAGGGTCTTGCTCTGCAGTCCAGGCTGGAGTGCAGTGTC
Organism: Homo sapiens; assembly: GCF_000001405.40. NCBI lineage: Eukaryota > Metazoa > Chordata > Mammalia > Primates > Hominidae > Homo > Homo sapiens. The sequence continues at coordinate 188,437 of NW_021159989.1, forward strand.
ACAATCATAGTTCACTGCATCCTCAAATTACTCCTGTCCTCAAGCTATCCTCCCACCTCAGCTTTCAGAGTAGCTGAGATTACAGGCGCATGCCACCAAGCCCAGATACTTTTTTTTTTCTTCTTTCTTTTTGGAGAGAGTCTCACTCTGTTGCCCAGACTGGAGCGCAATGGTGCAATCTTGGCTCACTGCAACCTCTGTCTCCCAGGTTCAAGTGATTCTCATGCCTCAGCCTCCTGAGTAGCTAGGATTACAGGCATGCACCACCACACCAGGCTAATTTTGCTTTTTTCATTGTTGTTTCTTGTTTGTTTTTCACAAATAGTACTTCTTATTTGCCACTGTTTTAAGTCTGAACTTTAAACAGATTCTTGGACTGGTGGTTCATATCCATCAGCTCATTCAACTTTAGCATGTGTCTCATCCCTAGTGGGTTTTCCAAAACTACTACCGTCACCACGAAGCTCCATGCCTTTCAAACCCAGGGTTCTCCAGCATTTTTACTTTTCTAATGAAGACATCATGGAGAGGATAAATTGGCAAGCCTTTTCTACATCTTTGCCAATGTTGTCTGGAATCAATTTATTAACCACTTCTTTCAAGTCATTTGTCTGCACCTCTCAGGTCATGATTTCCATCATCTTCTTCTGGATTTGGCAGACTGTTGGTGCTGAGCATAAGAGGTCTTCAGTATCTGATTGTTGTGTTTTTTAGTAAAACCAACACAAAACAGATGAAAGAAGTAACCATCGGTAGTCTTGACATCAACATGAGCTTCAATCATTGTTGAACATTTTTCAACCATGGAACATATTTTGTCACAGGTAAGAACCATGCCATAGAAGTTAGTCAGGCAGTTTTTGCCCTGAACATCTTCAGTAATCAGCTTGAATTTTCTAAATGCAACTTCATCATTCTGCACATCAGCAAGACTCATTTCAAACACAAGACCCTTGAGACCATCAGATGCAATTTGGGTTCCTTGGGTCCTGGTGACCAAGTCTTTCCAATATTTCTTATATTGAACATAGCAGGTGCTTTCACATCATACTGATCTTTCTTAGAAAATGGATCAACTGTTTTCTTCTTAACTCCCTTTTTGCCACCTTTCATAAGGCACTTGTTCTTAACAACCGCCATGGTGCTGCTCAGAGTACCAAAAGGCTAAATTTTTTATTTTTCATAGAGATGGGGTTTCACCACGTTGGCCAAGCTGGTCTTGAACTCCTGATGTCAGGAGATCTGCCCGCCTCAGCCTCCCAAAGTGCTGGGATTACAGGTGTGAGCCACTGCACTCAGCTGATATTTATTTTTTCTTTTTTTGTAGAGAAAGGGTCTTGCCATGTTGCCAAGGCTTGCCTGGAACCCCTGGCCTCAAGCAATCCTCCCACCGCAGCCTCCCAAAGCACTGGGATTTCAGGTGTGAGCCACCATGCCCAGCCTGGAATCTATTTTTAAAGCCAATCAAGTGTTGAATAAAATTGCAACTTGGGCTGTCTTTTCTTTGCATTTTTTACATTTCAATGGTTTTTAATATATTCAGAGATATACGCAAACATTACCAGTCAATTTTAGAACATTTCATGACCTCAAAAAGAAACCTCATACCCTTTAGCTAACACCCCCTATCCTCCCATGCCCCTACCAGCCCTAAGCAACCACTAATCGACTTCCTATTTCTATAGATTTTCATCTGAATGAAATCATGTAGAATGTGATCTTTCATCTGTTTTGAAGGTTCATCCACGCTGTAGTGTATGTACTTTCCTCCTTTTTGTGATCAAATAATACTCCACCATGTGGGTAGACAACAGTCGGTGTATCTCTTCATCTGGTGATGGGCATTTGGATTAATTCCCTCTTTGGGTTATTAGGAGTGATGCTACTGTAATTATTCATGTACAAATTTTTGTGTGGGCCTGTGCTTTCATTTTTGAATATGAAAATATGGCACATCTCCACGGAAGACATATAAGTGGCCAATAAGCACATGAAAAGATGCTTAATGAAATTCATCATCAGGGAAACAGAAATCAAAACCACAATGCAATACCACGTCATACCCATAAGCATGGCTAGAATCAAAGATAGAGAAAATTGGTCTGGTGCAGTGCCTAATGCCTGTAATCCCTGCACTTCGGGAGACCGAGGCAGGTGGATCACCTGAGGCCAGGAGTTTGAGACCAGCCTGGCCAACATGGTGAAACCCTGTCTCTACTAAAAAAATACACAAATTAGCCAGGCATGATAGCAGGTGCCTATAATCCCAGCTACTCGGGAGGCTGAGGCAGGAGAGTAACTTGAATCTGGGAGGCAGAGGTTGCAGTGAGCTGAGATTGTGCCACTGCACTCCAGCCTGGGCGACAGAGCAAGACTTTGTCTCAAAAAAAAAAAAAAAATACAGAAAATAACAAGTGTTGGTGAGGATGCAGAGAAACTAGAACCTTCATACACTGCTGGAAGGAATTAAAATGGTGTAGCCACTGTGAGAAACACTTTAACAACTTCCCAAACAATTCTACATAGAGTTACCAAATGACGCAGCAATTGTGCTCCTAGGTATAGGTCCAACTTGGGCTCTTTTAATCTGTGGAAAATGAACTGTGGGTACTTGGCAAGAACAAAGAGGGAAAGAGGCAGAAATGGTGCTATGAGGGCACATTGATTGGACTCTAGTACACACGGTTCCTACTGCAAATGGTCTCTAAATGACTTCATCAGTTGCTCATAAAAAAAATCACCCTCTGCTCCAATCATGGAGGAAGAAGTATGGATTGGACCTGGTGAGCCACGGTAAGACTGACTGCTAAACTTTATGAATGATGAGGGGATTTGCACGTATAATCTTGACTGTACTAGATTTTTTATTTTATCCACTGTCTTTGAAAACCTAACTCTTGACTAAGAACTGACTTTCCTGAAGTTGTTGTTGACTCTAAGTAAATTTCCAATTCCACATAGCCCAAAGATAATGTGATGAAAAATCTCTCAAAGGAAAAATGCTAAGAATACAGGAACAGTTATACGGCAAATTTTGCAGAATTAACACAAATTGTACTTGTAGGTACGAAGCACAAAACATTTTCATGGGTAAAGAAAAGAGTGCTCTTCACTCTAGTAGAGGCTGCAGGATGAAGCTGATCAAGGTGCTTGCCCAGCCAGGCCTTGGGCTCTTACCAAGTTTGTGTTAGAGTCAACTCTGATGGAGTCTCTATCCCAGTCATCTTTTTTTTTGACATGGAATCTCGCTCTGTCTCCCAGGCTGGAATGCAGCGGTGTGATCTCAGCTCACTGCAACATCTGCCTCCTGGGTTCAAGCAATTCTCCTGCCTCAGCTTCCCAAGTAGCTGGGACTACATGTGCATGCCACCATGCCTGGCTAAGTTTTGTATTTTTAGTAGAGACATTTCATCACGTTGGCCAGGCTGTGCTCAAACTCCTGCCCTCAAGTGATCCGCCTGCCTTGGCCTCCCAAAGTGCTGGGATTACAGGCATGAGCCACCATGCCCAACCTCAGTCATCTTTTTATCCTCCACACCTGGCAAGTTCTAGACTCACTGTGGTTCCATACAAGTTTGTTGAATAAATAGGAGACAGATAGAAAGTGGGAACTCTGGAAGTAGAGAAGATTCCAGAAATTGTGCATATTTCCCAGAGACTGTGGCCAAATTCCTCAGTCCTGCCAGAGTTTCTCTATCTCAACTCAAACCTTATGAGTGGTCCCAGGCGCAGTGGCTCACACCTGTAATCCCAACACTTTAGGAGGCTGAGGTGGGCAGATCACTTGAGGCCAGGAGTTTGAGACCAGCCTGGCCAACGTGGTGAAACCCTGTCTCTACTAAAAATACAGAAATTAGCCAGGCATGGTGGTGTGCATCTGTAGTCCCAGCTACTCGGGGGGCTGAGGCACAAGCATTGCTTGAACCCAGGAGGCAGAGGTTGCAGTGAGTCACAATTATGCCACTGTACTCTAGCCTGGGCAATAAAGCAAGACTGTCTCAAAAGAAAAAAAAAACCCTTATGTGTGGGCCTTGTTACAGAATTAATGTTTATATGGACAATATGTACATGGGTGTATGTTAAGAGCATGAGTCATCCACAAGATTTTAGCAAAGTCCATTTAGAAATCTCAATGCTTTGGGCTTCCAATTGCTTTGCTGCCTCTGTCCTCAGAAGGAGGCCTCATCCTTGCATGTAACCAGCAAATCCTTTATGCAGAGGTGTACACAACACAGTCCTCTCCTTGGCTATGACACCTTGAAAGGCTCCTCTTGGTGGCCCCTGGTGCTCATTTCAGAGTAGTTCAAATTAAGGTGATCAGCTTTCATTCCAATCACTCTACAAATCACTCCTATTATGACCAATTTTTCTAAATGCTTTATTGAATTATTACTTAAAGAAATGTGCACACAGAAGAGGTCAACACAGTACTTTTCTTAAAAACCAAACATACTGCCCAGAAGCAGTGGCTCATGCCTGTCATCCCAGCACTTGGGGAGGCCAAGGTGAGCAGATTGCTTGAGCCCAGGAGCTCGAGACCAGCCTGGGCAACGTAGTGAGACCCCCCTCTCTACAAAAAATAAATAAATACAAAAATTAGGCAACAGTGATGGCACATGCCTGTAGTTCCAGCTACTCAGGAGGGCTGAGGTGGGAGGACTGCTTGAGCCCAGGAGGCAGAGGCAGCAGTGAGCCATGATGGTGCCACTGTGCTCCAGCCTGGGTGACAGAGCAAGATCCTGCCTCAAAACAACAACAACAACAACAACAACAACAACAAACCTGAACATCTCCATATTACCGACACCCAATTCAAGAAACAAAATATTGCAGCCCCTTCCAGGATATTCCTGGGGTCTCTTCCATCTCTACTAACCCCTGACTACAAACAGCCTCCACCTATTTCACCTGACATTGTACTTTATGAAAGCAGCAGTTCTCAGATGGGGCTATTTTGCCCTATGGGGACATTAGGCAATATCTGGAGACGCTGGGGTTTGTCTCTACTTGGGGGGAGTTGTGTTACTGCATCCAGTGAGTCCAGGGATCCAGGGATGCCGCTCAACATCCTAAAATGCACAGGGAACCCCCACACATAGAACAGAGAAATTGCTGAGCCAAAATGTCAGCAGTGTCACAGCTGACACCCTGACATACACACAATCACACACTGTCTGCTCTTTCGTGCTCAGGATCTCTTTCATTCTAATCATCTCATAGGAAACAGAAATGTCATCTGGAGGTAGGTAGAGTCCAAAACAAAGAAGATCCAGAGTTTTTTTTTTTTTTTAATCAGCCTGGTGTCTTTAGAGCTAGGATTTAGTTTCCATTCTTTCTGTCTCATTTTCAAGTGATTTTTCTTCAAATGGCATCTGCTGGGCTCAAGACCTGGAGATCCCCACAAAGCTGAGATTCACATGGGAATTTTTTACACACCCACACAGGTATACACTGCCATTTACATGCAGACATCCACCCACAGATACACACATCCGGAGACCAAGACAGAAAGCAAACTCCACCATAAAAGCACGGTTCCCCAAACACGAGAAATGCACCATTCACTCCAGGGAGGTACCTATTTGTTTAATTCAGCCTCTGATAGTCAGGCTGTTGCCAAGCCCATCTCTGAAAGTCTTCCCCTCTAGGAAAGAGAGATGGATTTTTTCTTTACTCAAGAATATAGATCTAAAAAAAACAAACACTTCTGCATCTCAAAGCAGGCTCTACCTCCTGAGCTACACATATCGATCAGCATTTTATTGCCAATTTTCTTTTATTTGAACTGGAGAAAATTATAACCTAATTATGTTCTTACTGACACTTTGGAATCAGTTACACTAAATCCAATTCTTTGGGTTCTCATGATTAATTTGTTGAATTTGGGGGACAACAAAGCAAAATCATTGGTCGTGTTTTAATATAATTAGTACAGGATATATCTAAGGGGTTCAAGTATCACTGTAGCAAGAAGCTCATTCTGCAGTAAAAGGGGGATTCTGCCACTAGGATTGAGTGAGGGTGGTTCATGGCTGCACCGTTTCATCAATGTCTCTTCAAGAGTCCATGGAATGTGGAATGGGAAAGACTGAAATAGTCCAAGTTTTGGCTAAGCTTCTATTAAGGGGTGTTAGGAGCTGATAAAATAACCTGGTCTTTATAGACATCCACACTATAGTTCTCTAAGCTACAGATTCTCAGATTTTTCTATTTTATAAACCAGTAAAAATATTTTTTTAATTTGAGAACCAACATAAGGTTGCAATTTTTTTTTCTTTTTGGTAAGAAGGAACTTTTTTAAACTACCAGTTTCACACACACACACACACACACACACACACACACACACACACACACACACACAAATTCCACCATGATTGGTCAGAATAGGTGAGGTTTTGCTGCAATAACAAACAACTCCTAAATCTTGGTAACTTCAAACATCAGAAGTTGTTTTTCTCAGTCATGTTACATCTGCAGGGAGGTAAGGGGTGCTCTGTTTTCCATCAAACTTGCCCTAAGACTAAGGCTAATGGGGGTTGCATTACCTCGAGTATCACCAAGCAGGGAACAGAGGGAGAAGAATGCTAGAGAGTCTTGTACTAAGAATTAAATGCCCTAGGCTAGAAGTCTCACACTACACCTCTGCCCCCAGCCTCTTGGCCAGAACTAGCCACAACCCCTCCCCCACCACAGGGCAATGCATGCAGACAGGAGAATTGGATACATTACAAATTTCTACCCCATGGCATTTCATAAAAGGGAAAAAAATGCAAATACAAAAATGTTTTAAAAGAATAGAATATATACATTTTTAGAATACAGAACAATCCTCCAAAAAGGACAGCTGGTGGTCTTTCACCAATGGGCACATTTCTGTGACATTTTCTCTGTTTTTCCATTTTATCCTTGACCTATGAACATTTTATACAGATGGTCCAAAGAACACCATTTGGGGACCACTGCTCTAATCAGGTGATGAAAATGGCCCCAAGAACAGAGCACACTTTCTTTAGCAAAGACCCAGCAGGGCCAGGGTGACCATGTTCTCACCATCAATGTGCAGACATCCACCTGCAGCATCCTCACATCCCAACATCAAACAGTGGCTCTTTATAGCTTGATTCTAATGCCCTTTGATCTTCATAATCACTGTAAAGCTCTCTGGCCCCAAGATCTAACATCGCCACTCTAGCTACATCCCGCAACTGTTCACCTCTCCTGCCTCCTCATCCCTCTAAACTTCTCTTCACAACCTCATGTTTCCTTCTTGCTTTACCTTCCTGCTCAGCCTGGACCTTACAGTCACCTTCTTCTTGTAATGTGCTCCTAAACTCGTTCTTCCCTGCTTTCAACCACACCCACCTGGAAAATCTCCATACCCCATTGATGACTTGCCTCGCAACTGCCTAAGGGCTGCTGAATGATACTGGAGAGAATCACATCATGGATCTTGTAGTTCCACTAAATAATCTCACCATCCAACTCTAGGATAGACTTCACTTCTGTTCAGCAATATTTTTAAGCATCACAAATAAATTCCAAACCATATTTGCTATAACAATTGACTTTTAACCTCTTCCATATCTCAAAGCCCCCCAAACCCATCCCTAGGGGTTTCAGAGCCCAGAGTTGAGTTCTCTCAACTCACTTCCATCTCACCCCTAGATCACTGTATCTTGACCCTCTTCCTCTGCCTTTCCCATCTTATAAGGAGAAACATCCTTCTCCTTTCCCAAGCTACCTTCTCCACTTGTGTCTCATTTGAGACCTCCCTTTATCACCCATTCCCTTGGAACTCCCATGACTCACCACCTTCACTTGTCATTTCACTCATAAATATTTTTCACGATGTATGTGCCAGGCGTTTAATATATAATCATGCTTAAGTCTCCACATGCTAACAAGAAAAACCTTGATTATCCCTGCTATGCCCTCAAGTCATTACCCTCCCCGCTCCTTTCCTGTGTTCCCAAACTTTGTTGATCTTCATCAATCCCTCTGATGCAGATGGCTCCGAAGTTTGCACCCTATTAGGTTGGTGCAAAAGTAATTGTGGATTTTGCCATTAAAAGTAATGGCAATCATAGCAATTATTTTTGTACCAGCCTAGTATCTTTTCTCCTTCTACCAAACTTTGTCCCTGAGCCATCTCATCACCTATAACTACCTCCTCCATGCAGTTGATTCCCAGATCTGTATTATTCTACTGAAAGTCCATTACCAAACTTTCTCAGCTAGAATAACAGAAGCCCAGTTAGAATTCATGATACCATTTTCCCACCACCACCACCACCACAACCATCGCCCTGTCATTGTTAGCAAAACCATCTCTTCAGTGGAGCTCAAAGATTTGTAATCTCCCACTCCCCAGAAAGATAACTTCAGACTCAGCCTAGAAGTAAGGATCCTCCAGATATGGCCTCAATGACCCTCCAACCCATGTCCCCAGTGCATCCCTTTGATGCCCCCTTCAGTGGAGTCAAAATGGAGTGAGTGTTTTTCTTTTCACATACTCCTGGTGTTCTTCCACGAATACAATTTTCACCTCTTGAATATTTTCAAGGATTCTCCATGCTACACACAGTGAAATCCAAACTCCCCATCAGGACCCCAGTCTTCCCAAAACCTCTTTGCACTTTTCTGCCTCCACACTTTTCCTTGGGTCATCCTCTTCTCTAATATAACCTTGTGTATTACTCTAGGTTCTCCAGAGAAAGAGCAGAGAGATAGAGGTAGAGCTATACACATAGAGACAGATTGATTTGTTGTAAGGGATGGCTCACATGGTTATGGAGGCTAAGGAGTCCTGGAGTCTGCAGCCAGCAAGCTGGAGACCCAGGACAGCCAATGATATAGTTCCAACTCGAGTCCACATCTAAAGTCAGGAAAAGATTGATGTCCCAGCTCAAATATAATCAGGAAAAAAGAGCAAATTCTCTGTGACTCCACCTTTTTGTTTTGTTCAGGCCTTCAGTGGATTGGATGAGGCTCACCCATATTGGGGAGGACAATCTGCTTTATTCAGTCTACCAATTAAATGTTATCTTCATCCAGAATACCTCAGAGACACACCCAGACTAATGTGTAGCCAAATATCTGGGCACCCCACAACCCAGTCAAATTGATACATAACATTAACCATCATGTCTTGCTTCTACTCTCTCCCCATTACTGCATGTCCAAATCCTTCTCTTATTTCAAGGCTTAGTTCAAATGTCACCTCTTAACTAAGCCTTCCCTGCTAACCCCAAATATTAATAGAATTGGTTTCTCCCTTCTCTGATATCTCAAAATACTTTGTGTGTTTCTCTTTTACTGTATTTATTACAAACTCCCTTATAAATTGAGACAGTGATTCCCAGACAAATTATCAAAAGAGTATAAAAGAAGCCTTCTTTGAGTGTGAAATATCTCATGGAATTTAGCACATGGCCTCTTCATGAAGAAACTACTGGGAGAGAAGAAGACAAGCTGGAAGAGGCCAGGGAAAGGGGGTTAGTACAAGGGAGGTTAGTACAAAACTTTTCTTCGTCTCTCATCCTACCCGACTAGAAATACCCACAGGGGTGGAGGGGCAGGCCACCCCTTCATCTGGCGCCCAATGTGGGGCCTTTCTCTAGGGTAAAGGTACGATAAGAACATGAGCATTGAGGACAGCCGACAAGAGATTCCCGAGTACGTCCACAGTCAGCCTTGCAGTAAGCTTGTGCGCTCGGAGGAATCCAGGGTAACAATGGGGCAAACTGAAAGTAAATATGCCTCTTATCTCAGCTTCATCAAAATTCTCTTAAGAAGAGGGGGAGTTAAAGCTTCTACAGAAAATTTAGTTACGCTATTTCAAACAGTAGAACAATTCTGCCCATGGTTTCCAGAACAGGGAACTTTAGATTTAAAAGATTGGGAAAAAATTGGCAAAGGACTAAAACAAGCAACTCGGGAAGGTAAAATCATCCCACTTACAGTATGGAATGATTGGGCCATTACTAAAGCAACTTTAGAACCATTTCAAATAGAAGAAGATAGCATTTCAGTCTTTGATGCCCCTGAAAGCTGTGTAATAGATTGTGAAGAAGAGGCAGGAACAGAGTTTAAGAAAGGAATGGAAAGTCCACATTGTAAAAATGCAGTACAGCCTGTAATAGCTCAGTCAATGCAAAATGTTGACTATAATCAGTTACAGGAAGCAATATATCCTGAAACATCAAAATTGGGGAAAGGAGGTCCAGAATTATTTGGGCCATCAGAGTTTAGACCATGATGGCCACCATCTCCTTCTCCCGCGGTTCAGATACCTGTGACATCACAATCTCAAATGCTAATCCAGGCACAGTATCCACAATAGCAGGCAGTAGAAAATAAAACCCAACCATCGGTAGTTTATCAACACCAGCCGCCAGCCGAATTTCAGTATCGGCCGTCTCCAGAGGTTCAGTATGGATCTCAGGTGGTGCGTCCTGTGCTAAATAGCAAGACACTATATCAACAACCCACGGCGATGGCGTTTGATCCTACAGCACCACCTAGTGGACAAGATGGTGCACTGCATGAGACCATTGCTACAGCCAGAAAACAGGGAGATCTTGAGGCATGGCAGTATCCGGTAATTTTACAACCCATACCGGCCAGAAAAGGGAGTCAAACAGGAGCATCTGTCTGAACTGAGGCTAGATATGAATCTTTCACCATGAAAATGTTAAAAAATTTAAAGGAAGGATTTAAACAATATGGACCCAACTGTCCTTATATGAGAACATTATTAGATTCCATTGCTCATGGAAATAGACTTATTCCTTAAGATTGGGAAATTTTGGTTAAATCTTCCCTCTCACCCTCTCAGTATCTACAGTTTAAAACCTGGTGGATTGATGGGGTACAAGAACAGGTATGGAAAAATCAGGCTATTAATCCTGTTGGTTATATAGATGCAGATCAGTTGCTAGGAACAGGTCCAAATTGGGTCACTATTAACCAACAATCAGTAATGCAGAATGAGGCTATTGAACAACTAAGGGCTATTTACCTCAGGGCCTGGGAGAAGATTCAGGACCCAGGAACCTCCTGCCCTTCTTTTAGTTCAATCAGACAAGGCTCTAAAGAGCCATATCCAGACTTTGTGGCAAGGTTGCAAGATGCAGCTCAAAAATGCATTGCAGATAATAACGCCCGAAAAGTTATTGTAGAAATAATGGCTTATCAAAATGCAAATCCAGAATGTCAATCGGCTATAAAGCCATTAAAAGAAAAGGTTTCAGCAGGAGTTGATGTAATTACAGAATATGTGAAGGCTTGTGATGGGATTGGAAGAGCTATGCATAAAGCAATGTTAATGGCTCAAGCAATTACAGGGGTTGCTTTAGGAGGACAAGTTAAAACATTTGGGGGGAAACTGTTATAACTGTGGTCAAATCGGTCATCTAAAAAATTGTCCAGGCTTAAATAAACAGAGCAAAAAAAAGGAGGCACCTGGCCTGTGTCCAAGATGTGGAAAAGGAAAACGTTGGGCTAAGGAATGTTGTTCTAAATTTGATAAAAATGGACAACCATTGTCGGGAAACGGGAAGAGGGGCCAGCCCCAGGCCCCACAACAAAGTGGGGCATTCCCGATTCAGCCATTTGTTCCTCAGGGTTTTCAGGGACAACAACCCCCACAGTAAATACCACCATTTCAGGAAATCAGCCAATTACAACAATACAAGAGTTATCCCCCGCCACAGCAGGCAGTGCTGCAGTAGATTTATGTTCACTCAGATTATTTCTTTACTCCCTGGAGAGCCTCCGCAAAAGATTCCTACAGGGGTATATGGCCCGCTGCCAGAAGGGATGGTAGGCCTTATTTTAGGAAGATCAAGTCTAAATTTAAAGGGAGTCCAAATTCATACTGGGGTAATTGATTCAGATTATAAAGGGGAAATTCAGTTAGTGATCAGCTCTACTGTTCCCTGGAGTGCCAATCCAGGTGAGAGAATTGCTCAATTACTGCTCTTGCCTTATATTAAAATTGGAGATAGCAAAACAGAAAGAACAGAAGGGTTTGGAAGTACCAACCCTGCTGGAAAAGCTGTTTATTGGGCTAGTCAGCTCTCAGAGAATAGACCCTTGTGTACAGTTACTATTCAGGGAAAGCAGTTTGAAGGATTAGTGGATACTGGGGCTGATGTTTTTATCATTGCCTTAAATCAATGGCCAAAAAATTGGCCTAAACAAAAGCCCGTTGCAGGACTTGTTGGTGTGGGCACTGCCTCAGAAGTGTATCAAAGTGCCAAAATTTTACATTGTCTGGGACCTGATAATCAAGAGAGTACAGTTCAGCCTATGATTACTTCTATTCCAATTAATTTATGGGGCCGAGACATATTAGAACAGTGGCATTCAGAGATTACTATTCCAGTCTCCCTATACAGCGCCACTAGTCAAAAAATTATGACTAAAATGGGATATCTCCCTGGCAAAGGACTAGGGAAAAATGGAGAAGGCATTAAAGTTCCAATTGAGGCTAAAGAAAATACAGAAAAAAAGGGATTAGAGTATCCTTTTCAGGAGTGGCCACTGTAGAGCCTCCAAAACCCATTCCATTAACTTGGAAAATAGAAAAGCCTGTATGGGTAAATCAGTGGCCACTACCAAAACAAAAGCTGGAGGCTTTACACTTATTGGCAAAGGAACAATTAGAAAAGGGACATATTGAGCCATCATTTTCGCCTTGGAATTCTCCTGTGTTTGTAATTCAGAAAAAATCATGCAGATGGCACATGCTAACTGATTTAAGAGCCGTTAATGCAGTAATTCAATCCATGGGGCCTCTCCAACCTGGGCTGCCCTCTCCAGCCATGATTCCCAAAGATTGGCCTTTAATTATAATTGATCTGAAGGATTGCTTTTTTACCACTCCTCTGGCAAAACAGGATTTTGAAAAATTTGATTTTACTATACCAGCTATAAATAATAAAGAACCAGCCACCAGATTTCAGTGGAAGGTGTTGCCTCAGGGAATGGTTAATAGTCCAACTATTTGTCAGACTTTTGTAGCTCAAGTTCTTCAACCAGTTAGAGACAAGTTTTCAGACTGTTATATCATTCATTGTGTTGATGATATTTTGTGTGCTGCAGAAACAAGAGACAAATTAATTGACTGTTACACATTTCTGCAAGCAGACGTTGCAAACGCAGGCCTGACAATAGCATCTACTAAGATTCAGACCTCCACTCCTTTTCATTATTTGAGAATGCAAGTAGAGGAAAGAAACATTAAACCACAAAAAGTAGAAATAAGAAAAGACACATTAAGAACATTAAATGGCTTTCAAAAATTGATAGGAGATATTAATTGGATTCGGCCAACTTTAGGCATCCCTACTTATGCCATGTCAAACTTGTTCTCTATCTTGAGAGGGGATCCAGACTTGAATAGTAAAAGAATATTAACCCCAGAGGCAAATAAAAAAATTAAATTAGTTGAAGAAAAAAAATCAGTCAGCACAAGTAAATAGAATAGATCACTCAGCCCCACTCCAACTTTTAATTTTTGTTACTGCACATTCTCCAACAGGCATTATTGTTCAAGATACAGATCTTGTAGAGTGGTCATTCCTTCCTCACAGTACAATTAAGACTTTTACATTGTACTTAGATCAAATGGCTACATTTGATCAGGCAAGATTACGAATTCGTAATCAGGCAAGTTTACGAATTCGTAATCAGGCAAGATTACGAATAGTAAAATTGTGTGGAAGTGACCCAGATAAAATCATTGTTCCTTTAAATAAGGAACAGGTTAGACAAGCCTTTATCAATTCTGGTGCATGGCAGATTGGTCTTGCTGATTTTGTGGAAATTACTGATAATCATTACACAAAAGCAAAAATCTTCCAGTTTTTAAAATTGACTACTTGGATTTTACCTAAAATTACCAGACATAAACCTTTAGAAAATCTTCTGACAGTGTTTACTGATGGTTCCAGCAATGGAAAAGAGGCTTACACTGGACCAAAAGAACGAGTCATTGAAACTCAATATCACTTAGCTCAAAGAGCAGAATTGGTTGCTGTCATTTCAGTGTTACAAGATTTTAATCAGCCTATTAACATTGTTTCGGATTCTACATATGTAGTACAGGCTACCAAGGATATTGAGACAGCTCTAATCAAATATAGTATGGATGATCAGTTAAATCAGCTGTTTAAATTGTTACAACAAACTGTGAAAAAAGAAAGTTCTCATTTTATATTAGTCACATTCGAGCACATACTAATTTACCAGGGCCTTTAACTAAGGCAAATGAACAAGCTGATTTGCTAGTATCATCTGCCTTCATGGAAGCACAAGAACTTCATATCCTGACTCATGTAAATGTAACAGGATTAAAAAACAAATTTGATATCACATGGAAACAAGCAAAAAATATTGTACAACATTGTGCTCAGTGTCAAGTCTTACACCTGCCCACTCAAGAGGCAGGAGTTAATCCCAGAGGTTTATGTCCTGATGCACTATGGCAAATGGATGTTACACATGTACCTTCATTTGGAAAATTGTCATTTGTCCATGTAACATTGATACTTATTCACATTTCATATGGGCAACCTGTCAGACAGGAGAAAGTACTTCCCATGTTAAAAGACATTTATTATCTTGTTTTGCAGTCATGGGAGTTCCAAAAAAAATTAAAACAGATAATGGGCCAGGATATTGTAGTAAAGCATTTCAAAAATTTTTAAATCCATGGAAAATTGCACATACAACAGGAATCCCTTATAATTCCCAAGGACAGGCCATAGTTGAAAGAACTAATAGAACACTCAAAGCTCAATTGGTTAAACAAAAAAAGGAAAAAGACAGTAAACAGTATAACACTCCTCAGATGCAACTTAATATAGCACTCTGTACTTTAAATTTTTTAAATATATATAGAAATCAAACCACTACTCCTGCAGAATAACATTTTACCGGTAAAAAGAACAGCCCACATGAGGAAAAACTGATTTGGTGGGAAAATAACAAAAATAAAACATGGGAAATAGGTAGAGTGATAACATGGGGGAGAGGTTTTACTTGTGTTTCACCAGGAGAAAATCAGCTTCCTGTTTGGGTACCCACTAGACATTTGAAGTTCTACAATGAACCCATCAGAGATACAAAGGAAGGCGCCTCTGCAGAGACAAAAAACCCACAATCGAACATCATCGACTCGCAGGATGAATAAAATGGTAATATCAGAAAAACAGATGAAATTGCCATCCACCAAAAAGGTGGAGCTGCCGACCTGGGCCCAGCTAAAGAAGCTGACACAGTTAGCTAAAAAAAGCCTGGAAAACACAAGGGTAACACAAACTCCAGAGAATATGCTGCTTGCAGCTTTAATGATTGTATCAACAGTGGTAAGTCTCCCTACGTCTGTGGGAGCCGCTAGAGCTAACTATACTTACTGGGCCTATGTGCCTTTCCCACCCTTAATTCGGGCAGTCACTTGGATAGATAATCCTATTGAAATATATGTTAATAACAGTGTATGGGTACCAGGCCCCACAGATAACCGTGGCCCTGCCCAACCTGAAGAAGAAGGAATGATGATAAACATTTCCATTGGGTATCATTATCCTCCTATTTGCTTGGGAAAAGCACCAGGATGCTTAATGCCTACTATCCAAAATTGGTTGGTAGAAGTACCTACTGTCAGTGGCACCAGTAAATTTACTTATCATGTGATAAGTGGAATGTCACTCGGGTCACAAATAAATAATTTACAAAATTCTTCCTATCAAAGATCATTAAAATTTAGGCCTAAAGGGAAACCATGCCCCGAGGAAATTCCAAAAGAATCAAAAGACCCAAAAGTCTTAGTTTAGGAAGAATGTGTGGCTGATACTGCAGTGGTACTACAAAACAATAAGTTTGGAACTATTATAGACTGGGCCCCTCGAGGCCAGTTATATTATGATTGTATGGGCCAGACCCACTCGTGTTCACAGGCTCTATCTGTCTGGCCCCCTAATCCAGCCTATAATAGTGATTTAACTAAAAAACTAGACCAAGTTTATAGAAGGCTAGAATGACCCTATCCATGGAAATGGGGTGAAATGGGGATTTCATCACCCCGACCAAAGTTAGTTAGTCCTGTTGTTGTTCCTGAACACCCAGAATTATAGAAGCTTACTGTGGCCTCATACCACACTAGAATTTGGTCTGAAAATCAAGTTATGGGAACAAAAAATCATAAGCCATATTATACTCTTAACCTAAATTCCAATCTGACAATTCCTTTGCAAAGTTGTGTAAAACCCCCTTATATGCTAGTTGTAGGAAACATAGTTATTAAACCAGATTCCCAAACTATAACCTGTGAAAATTGTAGATTGTTTACTTGCATTGATTCAACTTTTGATTGGCAGCATCGTATTCTGTTAGTAAGGGCAAGAAAAGGTGTGTGGATCCCTGTGTCCATGGACCGACCGTGGGAAGCTTCTCCATCTGTACACATCTTAACAAAAGTATTAAAAGGAGTTCTAACCAGATCTAAAAAATTCATTTTTACTTTGATTGCAGTGATTATAGGTCTTATTGCAGTCACAGCTACTGCTGTGGCTGCTGGAATTGCTTTACACTCCTCTGTTCAAACTGCAGAATATGTGAATAAATGGCAAAAGAATTCCTCAAAAGTGTGGAATTCTCAGACTCAAATAGATCAAAAATTGACAAATCAAATTAATGATCTTAGACAAACTGTTATTTGAATGGGAGATAGGCTCATGAGCTTGGAATATCTTTTTCAGTTACAGTGTGACTGGAATATGTCAGATTTTTGTATTACACCTCAAGTCTATAACGAATCTGAACATCACTGGGACATGGTTAGACACCATCTACAGGGAAAAGAAGATAATCTTACCTTAGATATTTCTAGATTGAAAAAACAAATTTTTAAAACATCAAAAGCCCAGTTAAATCTGGTGCCAGAAACTAAGGCAATGGTAAAAGTTGTTAATAGCCTCACAAATCTTAAGCCTGTCACTTGGATTAAAACTATTGGAAATTCCACTATTGCAAATTTTGCATTAATCCTTGTATGTCTGTCCTCTCTATTGTTAGTCTACAGGTGTATCCAGCAGCTACGGAGAAACAGCGACCAGCGAGAACGGGCCATGATGACGATGGCGGTGTTGTCAAAAAGAAAAGGGGGAAATGTAGAGAAAAGAAAGAGGGATCAGACTGTCACTGTGTCTATGCAGAAAGGAAAGACATAAGAGACTCCATTTTGAAAAAGACCTGTACTTTAAACAGTTGCTTTGCTGAGATGTTGTTGATTTGTAGCTTTGCCCCAGCCACTTTGACCCAGGCACTTTGGCCCAACTTGGAGCTCACAAAAACATGTGTTGTATAAAATCAAGGTTTAAGGGACCTAGGGCTGGGTAGGACGTGCCTTGTTAACAAAATACTTACAAGCAGTATACTTGGTAAAGGTCATTGCCATTCTCTAGTCTCAATAAACCAGGGGCACAATGCACTGTGGAAAGCTGCAGGGACCTCTGCCCTTGAAAGCAGTGTATTGTCTAAAGTTCCTCCCCATGTGATAGTCTGAAATATGGCCTTGTGGGATGAGAAAGACCTGACTGTCCCCCAGCCCGACACCCGTAAAGGGTCTGTGCTGAGGTGGATTAGTAAAAGAGGAAAGCCTCTTGCAGGTGAGATGGAGGAAGGTCACTATCTCCTTCTTGCCCCTGGGAACTGAATGTCTCGGTGTAAAACCCGACTGTACATTTGTTCAACTCTGAGATAGGAGAAAAGTTGCCCTGTGGCGGCAGGTGAGACATGTTTACAGTAATACTGCCTTGTTACTCTTTACTCCACTGAGATGTTTGGTTGGAGAGAAAGATAAATCTGGCCTACGTGCACATCCAGGCATAGTACTTTCCCTTGAACTTAATCATGATATAGATTCTTTTGCTCACATGTAATTTGCTGACATTCTCCTTATTATCACCCTGCTCTCCTACTACATTCCTTTTTGCTGAAATAATGAAAAATAATAATCAATAAAAACTGAGGGAACTCAGAGGCCGGTGCCGGTGCAGGTCCTTGGTGTGCTGAGCGCCGGTCCCATGGGCCCACTGTTGTTTCTCTATACTTTGTCTCTGTGTCTTATTTCTTTTCTCCGTCTCTCATCCCACCTGACTAGAAATACCCACAGGTATGGAGGGGCAGGCCACCCCTTCATATGAGGAATTCAGAAATGGTTTGATCAAGGTTGAAGACCTAAAAAGAGGCTTTTCTCTCGGACACCAAGTCCCCATCTCATGCGTGGTTGAGTTAGTGGAAACTGAGGATGATGCTTCTTCCTCCAGCATTGGTATCCCATGGTTTTTGTTCAGTAGATGAAGTACCTCCATCCCCCAACATCCCCAAGCTCAATCCCAGTTTCCTCACATACACATTTTTTTTTTTTTTTTTGAGATAGAGTCTCGCTCTGTCACCCAGGCTGGAATGCAGTGCAGTGGTGAAACCTCAGCTCACTGCAACCTCCACCTCCCAGGTTCAAGTGATTCTCCTGCCTCAGCCTCCTGAGTAGCTGGGATTACAGGCATGCACCATCATGCCTGGCTAATTTTTGTATTTTTAGTAGAGATGACGTTTCATCATGTCATCCAGGCTTGTCTCAAACTCTCAGCCTCAAGTGATCAGCCCACCTCAGCCTCCCAAGTGCTAAGATTACAGGTGTGAGCCACCGTGCCCAGCCTCCTCACTTACACTTTTACAGAAGATCTGATCATACCCACTCCGCAGAAGTCAGAATGGCCCCCACGTGGTGTTAAATGGGAGTGAAAATTTGAGTTCAATCAACTGAGGGTGACACAGAAACATTTCCCCCAAAATGCTTTTGGCAGCTCTGCTGATCCATAACCTGGCTCCATTTCAGGGCAAGACCTCCACTTAAGCTGCACTGGCTTCCACTAGAGTAAATCACATTAACTCATGGCAAACACAACTGAAGGGCAAAAAGATTTTTTTAAAATGATTTTTGTCTCTCACTTACCAACACACGCTGGCCTCCCTACAGCCTGACTCCATTCAGCACCTGTTCCACTGAGCACCCACTGAAAGCTCAGCTCATGAGCTGAGATGATGCAGACATCAAGGAGTTTACAATCCAGGGGAAGAACAGAACTGAATACAAGTGATGACAATACAAGACGGAGTCAAAGAGCCCAACTTGAAGTTTCAGCAGAATAGCACCAAAGACTAGTTCCCAACCCAGCTCCCAGAGCCAGAGCCAGAGCCAGAGACAGGCTGGCTGCATGAGATCAGATGGGAGCTTTTGCAAACATAGGTCCTAGCTGAGCCCCTAATCATCAGACTGGGAGTCCCTGGGAGTGAGCTCCAGGAACTGGTTTATTTAATAAGCACCCACACACACATGATTCTGATGTTCCTAAGGGTAGTAGAAACATGGAACTATAGAAAACACTAAAAAAAAAAGGCGCTAAAAGAAACCTATAAATATTCACTACCATCCCAGGCATCATGAGGACGCTCCACGTCCACTATTTACAATACTTAGAATAACCTGCAAGGGAAGCATTCATTCATGACGATGGGCTTTATCAGGATCAGAGCTAGCCCTGGGAATGCTTGAACCTGTGCTGAAGGTCACCCCCTCCTCCCCACAGGAGGGGGCTAACATTAAGGAGCAGGGGCCAGATGGGAAATGGAGTGTCCTTTTATTATGAGACCACAGTGAGAGACTTTTTTTTTTTCAAGAGTCTCATTCTTGCCACCCAGGCTGGTGTGCAGTGGTGTAATCTCAGCTCACTGCAACCTCCACCTCCTGGGTTCAAGCGATTCTCTTGCCTCAGCCTCCTGAGTAGCTGCGACTATAGGCGCCCACCACCATGCCTGGCTAATTTTTGTATTTTTAATAGAGACAGGGTTTCACTATGTTGGTCAGGATGGTCTTGATCTCTTGACCTCATGATCCACCTACCTTGGCTTATTAAGGAATTACTGGTAATTTGATTAGGTATGACAATGATCATATAAAAAATGCCCTCATGTTTTTAGAGGGAAAGTAAATTATGTAGGGGTGAATATCATGATGCAATTACATAACTACTGTAAACCATTTTTTAAATACTTCAGAAAAACAAATGGAGTAAATATTGCAAACGTTAATAGTTTTTAAACCTATGTGATGGGTATATGATAGCTCATTAAACTAGTCTACTTTTATGTATACTGAAAATTTTTCATAATAATAATAATAAAAAAACCTTGGCCAGGCACAGCAGCTTATGCCTGTAATTCCAGCACTTTGCGAGGCTGAGGCAGATGGAGGACTGCTTGAGCCCAGGAGTTTGAGACCAGCCTAGGCAACATGGTGAAACCTTATCTCTACAAAAAATAGACAAATTAGTCAGGCATGGTGGTGTGCACCTGCAGTCCCAGCTACTCAGGAGGCTGAGGTGAGAGGATCACCTGAGCCCAGAAGGTCAAGGCTGCAGTGAGCCAAGGTCATGCCACTGCACTCCAGCCTGGGCGACAGACCCTGTCTCAAACAGACAAACAAGCAAACAAAAACTCTCTTGATCCCATTTCCCAAAAAAAATGATTTTTTTGACATGTTACCATCTCCTGTCTTGGTGCAGAGTACAGGAAATCAAGACAAAGTATAGTACACAAGGAATAAGGAGGGAGGGAAGTGTGGGGGAGGCTGACACTGTGGATTCTCCCAGCTCAGTCGACCCATGCACTTTGCTTCATGGAAGAAAGGAATGGAAGATGAATCCCGCCTTTAACACACAGTGACCTTCCTCACTAGTAAATGTGCCTCCAAAAGTGTCCAAGAACTCAGTGCCAGAGCCAGGCTGGCTGCATGAGAATCACCTGCAAGCTTTTGCAAATATAGGCCCCTACTGGGTCCAAATGTATTCATCTCTTGGAGAGGAGGAGAAAGGCAGAACCAGGAAAAGGATGGGAAGAGACCAGCCTTGTGCACAGGAGGATGCTGGGATTCCTCCTGCGCGTTTAGCGCAATGCAGCCTATTTTACAAGGTCACAGAAGCTCAAAGAGGTAAACCTGCCCAGGTTCTCATAGTTTGTAACTGGCAAAACCTGCCCAAATCTCTGTCTCTAGAGATATTTCCACTTGCTTCAACTCTGGAGCTGTCTTAGTTGTAAAGATGACAGATTCCACTCATCACTCACTTTTGTTTGCAGATATTGCCTAAGGTCTCTTGTGAATATTTAGGTCAGGGCTGTTTTTTTGAGTTTTTTGTTTGTTTGTTTCTTGGTTTTTTTACAAAGCAATCTTGTGGAAAGAACCCAAAGTGGCTCCCCCATTTAAGATCCTATAAACAGGGAGACCAGAGTCTGGAGTCCTAGTCTGGTTTCCACACCTTCCTTAGATTTCCCTGTGTGTAAAATCCAACAACAATCTTTGACAAATTACCTCCCCTAGGGGAGAGATGGAGGAAGTGTTAACTTTGCTTTTTTTTTTTTTTTTTTTTTTTCTATTTTCAGACAGAGCCTCGCTCTGTCGCCCAGGCTGGAGTGCAGTGGCGCCATCTCAGCTCACTGCAACCTCTGCCTCCTGAGCTCAAATGATTCTTCTGCCTCAGCCTACTGAGTAGCTGGGACTACAGGCAGATGCCACCACACCTGGCTAATTTTTGTATTTTTAGTAGAGATGGGGTTTCACATATTGGCCAGGCTGGTATCGAACTCCTGGCCTCAAGTGATCCACCCCCCTTCAGCCTCTCAAAGTGCTAGGACCACAGGCATGAGCCACCATGCCCAGCCACTTTGCTATTTTTTTTTAATAGACAGCTTCGAGGTCCAGTATGATTTCACAGATTAGGAAACATCACAGGCAAAGAAGAACACTTTGCATTCAAACAGCAGAATGTTTTCATTTTCAAAGAGCTCTCACCTGCCATCTAATCTTGTCTTCCTAGCAGTCCTGGGAGAGAAGCAGATGTGGTTTCCAATCCTACTTTCCAGAAGAGGAGACTGAGGAAGAGGCTTTGCAGATACACAGAGGACATGTGTGGACAGGTGAAGGTCATGATCATTGTCAGCCTCCTCCCCCAACTTGACATTCCCAGATCTGGTGGACTTCCAGCCAGAGGAGACAGAAGGACTGGATCACTCAACTCTGCCATGGGTGCCAGGACCAAATTTTTCCCTGGCTAACTCGGTCACATCCCGTCTGGGATCTCCAACTACTACCCATCCAACAGGTCTCAGCTAAAACAGCAGTTCAACAAGGAACTTTTTTCTGAGGCTACAGGATTGGGCCAGGCCCTCTCCATGGCTCTCTGCCTTCCCTCTACTGAAGAACTTAGCACCTATATGTCACTATTGGTTCAAACATGTGTCTTTCGTATGCTCTCCATGTCATCTGCAGCATCTGCCAAGAATAATAATGAATGGTAAAACCTAATCTCTATTGAGTGTCGATGATGCACTTTTAACGTGACATCTTATTTAATCCTCACTATATCTGCAAGAGTAGAAGCTATTAATAGCCAATTTTCAGGTAAGAAAATCAAAGCACAGTTTCTATAACTCACCCAAGCAGCTAACTAGGAGGCAGCTCAGTTTGAGCCCAGGGAATCATATTCTAGAGACCGTGTTCTCAATTACTAGAGCAGGTACCTCCCCCAGAATCTAGCAGGTGGTTAACGAGTCTTTGTGGAATAAATGAACAGAAGGACAAGCAGATGGATGGATACATAGGTGGGTGGGTGGATAGATGGGTGGATGGAAAGATGGATGGGTGGGCAGATGGGTGAATGAATGGATGGTTGAGTCGGTGAAGGGATGGCTGAGTGGGTGGAGAAATGGATGAGTGGGTGAGGGGGTGGAGGGATAGATAAATGGATGGACCGGTGGGTGGATAGATGGGTAGATGAGTGAATGGGTGGATAGATGCATGGTGAGTGGATGGATAGATGGGTTGGTGGGTGGGTAGGTGGATAATAGTTAGGTGCATAAGAGAGTGGGTTGGATAGATAGATGGGTGAGTTGGATAGATAGATGGGTGGGTTGGATAGATAGATGGGTGGGTGGGTGGATGGATGTATGCATGTCTGGATGGATGGATGGATGGATGGATGGAAGGAAGGGTGGACGGATGGATGGACAGATGAACAGATGGACTTGAGCATTTATTCGGGGTCCTCCAAATAATTGATTGATTTCCTAGGGTGTCTCATCACCTGTAGGTGGGTGGGCAAGGGGGCTTGCCTCTGTAATACTCATGGTTATGGGTAGTGCTCAGCCTTAGTCACCACTCTCAGAACACTTTATTGACTAGGAAAGTCAAAACTGGCATTGGCAACTAATGCAAATTACAGGTATAACTAAAAGAAGATGGTGAGCTGATGACAGCTGAGCAACCAATAATCAATAACTTGGCTGTGTCATGTTACTGCTATGCTGGGCTGGTAGAGCCAGGGGTTCCTTAATCCCTCCATCACATTGAGGATGCTTATCAAGACTTCCCCAAACATGGGGACAGGGATCTTATCAAACACTTGCAGTTCACCCCAAAAGGCTCACCCTCTTCGTTCCACCTGCACATGACCTTCAGCTCAAAGACATTTCCAGTCCTCCAGGTCAGCCCTTCTTCCCGCCTTTGAATTAACCCTGATGACTGCCTGCCCATTAGGTATCTTCACCTTTCATCACACAGCCTTTTCCAAGGCTTTCCTTCAGTCCAGCCCTCACTAAACGCTGGAACTCTTGTTGACAAAATCCAGAACAAGCTGGCTGGGGGATACAGGTGGGAAGCAGGCTGTAGTAATGGGGAAAAATTCTAAGCAATCTCGAACACAGAAAAGCAACTGAACAGGTAAGAGAGAGGCAGTCAAGAGAAGAAGTGTTAATTTTGCATAACTGAAGCTGAAGAAGATCAGAGGGGCATGGCAGACCACAAGATAAATATGAGATAGACTCCTTTTTAAAAAAGTATAAACACCCACCCTTTCCTATTGACAACTGTGCTTCAAATATTGCTAAGGTCTTAACTAAAGGCGAGTCAGAAAAACTGAGTATTTTAGGTAATACAGTAAGAAGGCCCATAGGCAAGCATGTCCCTGACACCACCTTCTAGGATAACCCCTGGGATTCTGGTTACACCTGTCCTAAAGTTGTCTCTCACTCCTGCCATTGGAGAGCTACCATGAGAGAAGAACCATAGTGAATTGGTTAAGAGTGTGCACCCAGCGACCAGCCAGATGGCTTCAAACCATCACTACCTAATACTGAGCAAGTTACATAATGTTCCTGAGCCTCAACTTTCTCATCTGTAAAATGGGTATGACATCATTCATTAATCAAATTATAGGTGAGCATATACTAAACACCAGAGAAACAAATGAGAATCAGGAACAGCCATGGCCCTGGTCCTCATGGTGACCACAGTCTTGAAGGGGAAGGATGACATGCACAGAAATAGGAATCCATAGCTGAGCTAGTGTCTACCACAGAGAGGCACCTCGTGTCATGAAAGCAGATAACAGGGGGTTGCTGTGACTGAGTCAGTGTGGCCAGGCGTCCCTGAGGATGTAGTGACTCCACTGTCAGATGAGACTGTGACCAGGTGAAGAGGCAGGGAGAGGGAAAATCTTTCTAGGCAGAAAGAGCAGGATGTGCAAAGGCCCTGTGGCAGGAAAAGAGCAAAGGAAGTGCAAGAGCCTGAAAGAGGCCAGAGAGAACAAGTGAACATGTGGATAATCACAGCACCCACCTCATACAGGACTTGCAAGAAATTGAGACCCTGTCTGTAACAGATTCAGCAATGACTAAATAGAAACTATCTCCTAAAAGCACAGGATGAGGCTCCTTGGTGGTATTTCCCATGTGAGGCTGCCATGGACTCAGAGGCCAAGTTCAACCTGCCTGTAGACAACCTCCAAGCCAGCTGGACACACATACACCCTCAGGCTCAGGATACCCAGGACAGAGTCCTGGATGCTTGAAGTCATGATAAGTATCCAGAATGACACAGAATTCCAGCCAGGCATGGTGGCTCACACCTGTAATCCCAGCACTTTGGGAGGCCGAGGTGGATCACCTGAGGTAAGGAGTTCGAGACCAGCCTGGCCAACATGGTGAAACTCCCTCTCTACTAAAAATACAAAAAAAATTAGCCAGTTATGGTTGTGGGTGCTACTCAGGAGGCTGAGGCAGGAGAATCTCTTGAACCTGGGAGGCAGAGACTGCAGTGAACCGAGATTGCACCATTGCACTCCAGCCTGGGCAGCAAAAGTGAAACTCTGTCTCAAAAAAGAAAGAAAGAAAAAAAGAATGACACAGAATTTGCTAAAGGGGGAGAAAGGGCTTTCTTCCAAAGCTGGGCCTGGTTTCTACAGAGAGTCTTCCAGATGAAAATTAAGCAGCTCTTCTCAAGCACCTCAGAGGAGAACCCCTCACCCTGATGAATCAGGCACACAGGCGGATCCAAGACAATTGGCTGTGTGCGTGTGAACAAGCCTATGGTGGAAATGCAGTGCTTTATTTGTTTGGGGTGGTTTAATCACCAGGAGGGAGAAGCTTCTAAAGCAGCATTCAGAGGTGGCTGTTGCCTGGGTTTTCTGGAAGGGGGAGGTGGTGAGGATGAGGGCTTCCATTTCATCTGCAGGTCCCTTGCAGAAGGAGCTGGGGAAAGCTTTGCAGCCATCTGCACACTGTTTGCCATCTTGTCTGACTGGGCAGCCGAGCTCCAGATGGGGGCGGATGGGATAGCTCTTGCCACCGTATTTGGAGAGAGATGGCAGGGAAGTCAGCCCCCATGAAGAAGACAGGAGCACACAGGTGCTGGACAGTGCTGTCTAGGCCCCTGGGGCTGAAGTGTCCAACCCCGCAGCCTCTAGGTGCCACTAAAGCAGCCCAAGAGGGTCTTCTCTGTCCATCTCCATCCTGGCACCTACAGACACTTGGAGAGAGTCCTTCACATGGGAACTCGCAAATGCACACTGATAACCCCCACACGGAACTTTCATATGTAGCAAGTGAAAAGACAGGATGCCAGTTAAACTTGAATTTCAGATAAACAACAAATCATTTTTTAGGGTAAGCAGGTCCCAAATATTGCATGGGATATATTTGCACCAAAAAAAAAAAAAAAGGTTAATGAGAAACTCAGGTTTAATTGGACCTCCTGTATTTTACCTGGCAAGCCTTACCCTGCATAAACACATCCTCAAGCTTGAAACTCAGAGAAGCCACGGCCGTGCTTACACACGTGCACAAACCCATATACCTTACAGAGTCAAGGGCTGTGATGAGGGGGTCCCCACCATTGCACACTTCCCTGTCCTCTGTCTGGGCTCAGAGTGAACAGGGGGTCACCTGGCATCCACGTCTAAGCTGGGCTTGGAGGTGTCCTAATGAAGCAGGATGCTGACCTGCACTTCCCCAGCTCAGCGGGGGCTGCAGCCAGGCCTAGCTTCCGGTCTCGGGCCTAGAACACACAGCACAGCCCCAGACCTTGGCAAGAAGTCTTCATCTCAAGGGCCACTGGCTCAGGACCTATTAGAAGCCCCACTTCTTTCCTCTGTTTCTGCTGCCATTGCCTCCATCTCTGACCCTGCCACCCAATCACTCTATAAACACAGCAGGTACTAGGGGTGGCTCTGGGCTCGGCACTAAAGACAATGCCCCTGGTAAAGCCTCAGTCTAGCAATGACAGTCAACAACGTATCAGCAACAGCCCTGACCCACACGTGCTGACTGCGCACAAGGGCGGCGCTGTGAACGTGCTCTCAACAGTGATCTCACTGAACCCTCATGGCAGCTCTAGGATGCAGACAGTAGCATCACATTATCCCCATTTTACTTATGAGAAAACTGAGGCCTGAAGAAGGCAAACACAGGCCTAGGGATTTGCAGTAACATTGTCAGGAATGTTTGAGAAAGCAAACTTCTCCAGAGTGAAGCAGTCTGCCAAAGCTCAGAAGACAGAGTCCCTGTTAGCAGGCGCTGGGGGTACTGGGGACAGACAAGCGGGTAG